>NC_000008.11:3989706-4291991 GCF_000001405.40 Homo sapiens
GAACTTAGATACTTGTATTTACTAAAGTCATAGGTGGGAAACGCTAATGTTCTAGGCCACTACTCATTTAAAGGATGTATTAAGCTTGGATAGCACGTGCCAACAGGAAGTAACCCAAGCAACAAAATGTCACATTTTTTGGAGGAGTATAGGATTGCACAAAATTACCTTATTCTCCTAACCAGTCCTCCATGAAATTGTGCAAACTTTCATAAGAAAGAGAAAAATTAGATATTCATGGCTTCAAGAGAAACTCTAAATGAAGATATCAAAATGTACAATTGGAACACGAGGATGTGCCAGTTGGCTGATTTGAGGAATAAATGAGAGTTAAGCAGCATTATTTGAGAATGACTAAAATGGAGTGGGCGCAATGGCCCCTCAGAAGGCAGAGTGTTTTTAAATGAGAAATTTATTTAACAGCGTTAATTTAGTTTTACTTTTTTATTGTTTCCAGGATTAAGGGCCACATACAAAAAGAAAGAAGTGTGATTACAAACAACAGGTATTTCATAGTTGATGAAATACATTTTAATCCATAAAAGACTTCTTTTTTCATTGCCTACAGCTTAAATAATTTATAGGAAAAGTATTTTTCAATAAAATGAGGTTAATTTGGAGAAATCTGACATGAGAGAAATATTACACCAGAACTGTAGAGTTCAACTCTGCCCTAAGAATGGTAAGGATGGAGACGGGGACTTCTCTCCCGGGATAACTATTTTTCCTATTGGTCCCATCTTTAGAGACCAGGGATGTTTTCTTCTTCTCTGTTACTCCTCAGTCTGGACAATTTTATGGAATCTTAGGGTAAAATACTACATTTTATCCATAGCTACCACCATTCAATAAATTAGAAAAGTGTCCCAAATTTCAAATACGTATTCTTTGAAATAGTTTTTTAACTTTATTGAAACTCTGGTATTTACTTAACCCGAATTAAAGGATTGCTCTAGAATGCTATTTCTAGAATTTGTGAAGAAATCTCAAATTCAGGCTTAATTCTAGGCAATAAGACAGTCGATGGCTTCTCAGAGTTGCAGGGGCACCTGCTGGTGAGTCCATCCCTTTCATGAGGAAGGAGAGGGGAGGGCAGGAAATAATTCCTAGGGTATACGCTCCTGGTAGTGAATCAGAGAGTGCAGCTGCCCCTTCACAGAGAGCCACCTTCTTTGCTCCTGGAGGTCCATTCTGACGTGAAAGACCCTTCCTTCACTGCCTGGTGAAAGCATCATCTCTAGATGATGCTTTTCAGAAGGACAGGAGAGAAAATGTGTCTTGCAAAAACACACCTGACAAAAACCTCTAAAACACAGCCTGCCTGCTTCACTCCACTTGTGGGGCTGCAGCATCTTTCCCAGAAATTCCTTCGCTGCCCAGCGGCTTCATCCCTGGCCACGAGCCGAGAGAAAAGGTAGAGACTGGAAATTGGCCCCACAGTAGACATTGTGGAGAGGGTGCCTAATCCACCCAGGTGAAAACAAAAATATCCAGGATAAGGCATGTGAAAGAAAGCCACCAATCAAGTTAGAAATTATCCGTACAGTAGAATTAGCTGGTATTGAAAGAAGTTCGCATTATTTGCCTATTGAGTTTCAGGGTGGAGGTACCTAGGTTGTGGCGTAGTCTGGGATGGCCAGTTTTCTCCACCTACCTAAGACTTCAGTGCGTCACGGTTGCATATATAACCCTGTTTAGTCACATCTTTATGCGACAGCTTCATGGTAACATCAGCTTGTCATTCATGTGTCCTCTTAGAAGCCTGATAATATCTATCATTATGTTATACCCAGAAATATGCTCAACAAGCAAGTATGCTAAGATGATTACATTACTGTCTAGTGAATAATGCTGGAAAGAAACACGTAAGAGTAGCTAGTGATGACTCCACCACACAGTAACAGAGATGACTACAAATTAGAAGTGGAGGGCACTTTCTTTGTATGCACTAAGGCAGAAGGTTGCTGAAGAAATTCTAGGATGAGAGTGGAGTGCCGACACACTGCTTCCATCTTCCTGTTTTGAAATTAGCGATGAAATGTGGTCTCAACTTTTTTAAAAGGAGGAGGAAATATACCTTGGGACTGTCTCTCTTCAAGTCTCCACACTGCCTCTTTGCTTTTTGGATGGTTGAATATTTAACTACTTTGAAGCCTATTTTTCTCATCTATAAAATGGGAATAGTAGTATCTCCAAGTAGCAGTAGCAACTATTGTTTATATTTTCTTGTTATATAACAAACACTCGGTGATTATTAAATGTTTTTTTACAAAAAAAATACACTATTGAAAAAACATAGAAATGGCATTTTAATTAAAGCAGGGGTTTATGAATAGAGCTACAATATCATGTTAATTATATCCCTACACCTTCAGCTGGTATGCAGAGTATCAAGAAAAGGAGAAATGTGTATATATATGTGTGTGTGTGTGTATGTACATATATTATATATATTTTTATTGTTAGATATATATAAATATATTTACATTCATATTTATTTCCCATTTATGCTATACTAAACACTTCTAAAAAACAACACTTCTAAGCTCTATTTTTCATGAACCAGCATAACTTGACCCTTTTGCCTACCTGGAGTACGCAAGTTTACAAGGGGAACTCTGGGGTGACAGTTTTGTAATCTTATTTTGTTCCCGTTAAACCAGCACAAGTTTACTATTAAATCAATCTAATCAGTGATTGGCTGAAGTTAAAACAAAAATAAGTGTTGAGGTGCATAGCTTACAACAGGTTTGTGAAATAAAATTACTGAATCCAAATTTAAGATAGAAAATATGGGACTGGCTGTTGTGGCTCATGCCTGTAATTCCACACTTTGGGAGGCTGAGCCAGCAGAATTCCTTGAGTCCAGGATTTTGAGACCAGCTTGGGCAACACAGTACGTCCGTGTGTCTACAAAAAATGTTTTAAAAATTAGCCAGGGTTCTGCACCTGTAGTCCCAGATACAAGGAATGCTAAGGTGGAAGGATGGCTTCAGTCCAGGAGTTTGAGGCTACAGTGAGCTATGACAGCACCACTGTACTCCACACTGGGTGACAGAAGGAGACCCAGTACTAACATTAAAAAATTATAAAGGAAAGCACAAAAAACAATTCGCCCATTTTAATTGGTGGCACTGCAGCATTGCTGCGTGGTCTCCTCCATATTCATAAACGATGTCACTGCTTTTCCAAAGCCATTTTTCTCACAAAAGATTGAATTGTTAACATGGGATAGGTCAAGTTCATAGAAACAAAGAAAGATGGAAACGGCCACAGTTGGACAGGGCCAAGGAGGCAAAACCAAATGCTCTGTGGGTCCCTGGCTGGAGCCCTGGACCAGAAAAGACATCAGTAGAAAAGGCAGAGGAAATCAAACAGAGTCTGAAAATGAGTTAGCAGCACTGATGCTACATGAATTTCTTGGTGCCAATAATTACACTATGGTTATGTAAGATGTTCACATGAAGGAAGCTAGGTTTAGGATATACAGCAACTCTCTGTGTTAGTGCTGCAAATTTTCTGTAAAATGAATTCAAAATAATAACAACATGAGGAGGGAGAACATGATGCCTCCTTCCTTTAATTTTGGGGCACGTGAGAGAAGGATTGATTTCAGGGAGTCTGTTACTCAGCATGTTCCTCTATAATTCTCCCTGGTTAGAAATTAAATAGACACCAAGTCAATTATCAATTAAGTGACAAGTTGGGTAAACACTGGAAGCATTAACTGACCCATTCAAGCGTTCTTTGAAATTCACTCAGCTTTCCCCATTTCTCTGAAGTTTTGTTTTAACTTTAGCCAGTCACCAATTAGATTGACTTAATAGTAAAATTGTGCTGGTTTAACAGGAACAAAATAAACTAAGGTTACAAAACTGTCACCCCAGAGTTTCCCTTGTAAACTTCCATACACCAGATAGGCAAAAGGGTCAAGTTATGCTGGTTCATGAAAAATAGAGCTTACACCTTAAAAAATCATAAAGTAACAGATGTTTCTTTTGAAGTCATAAGGCAGCCCTAATCCAAAGCGGAAGAAATGTTCTTGCATTTATTATGGCTGATGTTTTCCAGGGAGGGAGATCACACAACCTGTTTGTTTCACTTGCATTATTTATGTAGTGTTCTTCCAGGTACTCTGCATGCCCCTCTAAGCATTATGATAATGGGATCGACAAAAGATAGGCAGTGGGCGATTTCCACGTGGAAACGTGCAGCTGAACAAATGCACCAGGGATGAAAACGCCCAGTAACATAAAGACAGGGATGGGTTCACAGGGGCAAACTGCAAGGGGATGGGCGTGCCTGGCAGGGAGGGAGCCAGGATGGGGCCAAATCGGTAGCTGTGGACAGCTTGGGAAGGCACACTGAGGCTTCCAGGCTCTGTCTCAGGGAGCTGAAGCTCAGTCATGGAAGTTAAGAATCGATGCATTTATATTTGTTTTGGGACACATTTTCAATGCATTTATTTTTATTTTCTTTTTCCTTACCTTCTCTATCCTCTACACATTCCCTGTCACAGAAGGGTATGGAAGCCTGTTTCTTTTGTTATATAAGTTCATATTTTAAAGGGAGTAAATGCTCCCTCAGTGTTCCCAGCCAAGACTATACAACCTTAATCCCGTTAACCATCATGTCTTAATTTAGAAACCATAGAGGGAGAACTCAGAAATGAAATCAATTTTCTTTCTTCTTGATATTATTAGAAGTACAAGTTATAGGCTACACCATCAAATCTCTTCAGAAAAAAAAAAAAAAAAAAAGAACACTTGGCTAGTCTCACCACTACACAAATCCTTCCTAATTGCAAGAAAAATAATGACTAGACCATGCTATAAAGTGAACTCAAAATGGCAACTCTCTGTTAAAGCAAGGGATTGATAGGAAGCCAACCTGCATGAAATTAGAATCCGACTAGTTAAAAAAAAAAGTCAGTTTCAACTAATGTACCTATAGCCTATGAGGCTTAAATTACGAACCCAACGTATGTTTAATATAAAGATAATTTTGGCACATGACATCATCCCCTATATTTAGACTGCCTCCACTGCTGCCATGGCAACCCTGACTTAAAACATAGCTCAGTGGGTAATTTCACTCCAAATTAAATGAAAATAAGGCTAATCCTATTATTGTTCCTAACAATTTTCCAAGTAGCTTCTTCTGAGAGTGCCCTTGCTTATATGCCCTTTTTTAAAAATAGATTATTGGAAGATCATATGTGTATCTGCCCTCACTCCACTCACAGTCACTCGCACCACCCTCCTGGCTCTGTGGAATGACCCTGTGCTTGGGAAGAGGTCGCAGCACCCACAATGCTCCCCGTCCCTGTCTATGCAATTCGGGAATGGGGAAACCTTTTAAATACACCAATTTGATTCATGAAATATTTCAGAGACTGTCACTGTAGAATTACTGTAAAATAATAGGCTTTTTAAGATAAATCATATTATGCATTTGTATAGGCCTTAAAAGGGTACTTCAAATTATTCTGTTTTATGTTTTAAATGTGCTCCTGTAGGTTTCCATAGTTATTTAGGAGAACCATCTTTTGCTTTTCAGCCTCCACTGAAGAGTCATTGAAAGCTGAGAGTTCCACTTAAACGTAGTCCTTGTGGCTGTGTTAAGATACTTCTTTTGACTATTATGATAAACATTAAATGTTACACATACACACAAAACACTCTGTTGACCCACGACATATGCTAAATTGCTTTTCCATCTTTACCCCGACAGTTACCTGTTCAAGGCTTTATGATCCAGCCTGTAGTCCTGAAACAGAGAAACTCTACTTCTCTGACAGGGCATTGAAGCTCAGACCTGGACTACACTGACTGAGGGGCTATACATAGAGAGAAGAAAATGCCGTGGAGTCAGAGACCTTGAACCTGAGCTCTGCCAAGGGCTCCATCAGCTTTGCCATCTCTTGTCCTCTGCATATCTCAGTTTTATTTTTAAATCTACAATAATAAAGAGACAATAGTAGACAATAGTAAGAATAATGACCCCACAGGGCTTTTGCGCCAAGCAAATAGGACAATATAAGTCATCCCAAGAATACAAGTATAAATACAACTCTATCCCCGGCTAATCATGGCTATTTGAAGAGAGCAGCTAAGCTAACAGGCAACAGAGTTTATTAGACATGAAGGCACACAGGATCATAGTTCCCACTGATAACTTTCCCACCAGCTTCCCTAGCAAATACAGAGAGAGATTCCAGTGATGTAGAAGATGTCTTCCAGCCTGGATCCAGGCACCAAGAAGACAGTGGTAGTCTCTCTGGCTATCTGTGCTGATACTCTCTATGACAAGGATGATCAATTGTTGCCATAAAGTGCTACAATGGTCCCATCAACTTTTCAGAACACGCTTCTCATCACACTCATGATCTGTATTTTCTGACACAAACTAAGTTTCTTTGGCAAAAGCTGCCACTGATCATAGGTTCTAGAATCACTAACAAATCGGCCTCACTTGCTTCTACCTCTCTCCCAACCTGACATCTTACTAGCAAGGTGTGCAGTCAATGCCCAATACCTCTGGACTGTCCTAAAAATAAGACCTTTAACTTTAAGCATATAACTTCTGAGAATGAGTCCCTATATATTTTATACTTCAATTATTTTCTGAAAACCACAATAATTTTAAAACTAGGAAGAGGTGAGATCACTTGAATATCTTTAAATGATTAGTAGAGCATATGTACTAAAGAGATGCTTAATAAATTCATTTTTAAGATTTTTTTTTTAGCACAGCCTCTCTTTTTACAAATCGACTTGTCTGAAGTCATAAGGATTTGCTTTTGGCAGAACCTGTGGTATAACTTAGGTTATCCACCTCTCGGCTCAGCTTTTGCTTCCATGAACTCTAATGTTAGACATAGCGAGATAGGTAATAATTTAAACAAATTCCTGAGTGTTTAAAGTTAAAGTCATACAACCTACATTAAGCAGATTGGTCCTGGCTAATCTAAAAGTGTTGTTCAGCATGAAAAAAATTGAAAACAAAGACAATCTAGGTAGAATTTGTTTGGTTTCTTCCTCCCTCCTATTTGAAATAACATTTAAAACAAGCACAATAAAATCAACCAGGAAAGGACTTCTCCATGAATAGGAATCATCAGCATTGAGCCTTGTGATTTGGAAAACAAAGTGCAACTCAATTCAATTCCAATAATCGGTTTAAAACAGGTGCTCATATTTACAATATGCTTCATGTTTGACATGTTTGTCTGGTAGCCTTCATACTAAAATGCAAACTGCAACCTGCCGACATGTTCACAATCACTCATTCCATATTCCCCTCTTCCTACTCATAAATGGCCAACATTTCCTCTGTGTCTACCTGAGTTTCAACATACCCATTCTTGTTTAGTCATATTTCAAGATCTAAAACAGATAACTGAAGCAGTTTTAAAGTGTTCAGGTTTAAAATAATAAAAACAATAACACAATTTTACATGCAACAAATGACTTAATTCAAGATAGAAATTAAGGCCTTAAACATCTATGCTATGTTTTTAAGTCTCTCAAATGGCACTTATGGACACAAACGATACTATTCTTGCAATCACGACCATCACTCCTAAATAGGCGGTACTTCATTAGATCTTGTTTTCCTTTGTCTCTACTGGGGTACACACCAGAGAACTGACCACCCTGCGGTTAATTTTATACATATAGTGGACTAAGATGTGTGTTAAGTTATTTTGCCTTTGAGGATCTTGTAGCCACGGGCACTTCCCCACAGGTGGCTACAGAATGTGGTACACAGTCTTCACGAAGAAAAAGGAAAGCACAATCATATATCTGCAGCAGTCTGTCAATTCTCGCTAACGTGAGATAAAAGAAAATACACAATCTAAAAATCTCTGCTCACAGTGAAACAGCTTCAGACCAAACCCAAAACTAACTCACCTTACTTGGTTGCTTTAAAACAGTCCAAAAATGACAGCACTACAAGTTCAAGCACACAGATGACTTCCCGAGCTCCAAACACCAGCACAAAGACATCTTAGAAACTTTGAAATTACTCACAGTAAAGGTAACTTTTCCAGAGCCAAAAGAGCAAGGCGAAAAAAGGAACACACATGCTTGCCCATGAACGTCCAGAGACAAGCAATTCTTGAAGCTCGTTGGGGGAAAAAACGGGGAAAACACACCTGTATCCTTTGTGGCATCTCTTCCCGGGACTTACCATATGGATGGAGCTTCCGTGCCACTGATCTCTAAGAAATCATATCCTTCTTCTAGCTGAAAGTCAGTGAAGACCAGCGCAATGGTGTCCCCGGGCTCAGCCAGAATGGTCCAGGTGCAGTCCGCGTTGTTCTCGTACTCTGAAGGGAAGTGCGGGCTGGAGATGGAGCTGCTGGTCCCGCGTAAGGTTCCTCCGCAGGCTCCCTCAGCTGCAGGGGCAAAAGCAGAAAGAAAGCATCACATTTCAGGATGGTTTTCATACACGAGTGTGTCCACCAAGTGTCACTCTTGATCAGCGACAAATATTTTCTGAACCCAAAATTGAGACACTCAATCTGAAAAAGAATCTTTTGGTATGTTAATGAGTTCTATGAAAAGGCTTACAAGACTCTAACATTTAAATTATCTTATTAATTGAATGGCCATTGCGGGAAAGATGGAAACGGTGGCTTTTCTGAAACATGGAAAGTGTAGTTGCCATGTACCTGACATTGATAGGCAGCCTAACAAGATTTTCAGAGATTTTCTCCGAATCCTGGAAGATGACACTATGTAAGCAACATTTTGAGACTTAAAAACATGTGGGCGTTTATTCATGGATACCTGGCTTTGAGAATACTGTGCTCTTAAAAGAAATGGTTGTCTTAAATTTATTTTCCATAAATTTGGGATTAATTTGGGTTTTGAATTTCAGATAGCTATTGAGTAACATAAAAGAGGCACATCACCTCATAAAAAGGTTCTGAGTAGAAAACAGTTACATGAAACTTAAAATGGAATATCTTAGAAAAGTGATAAGTGAAAGGCCAGTAAAGATAAAAGTGCATTTAAAATAGAAACTAACAATTAAAAAATTATTGGTTAGAAAGGAAACAGATCTTGGTAAGTTTGCTATAGAGTAAAAAAGCTTCTTTGTTACATTTATTTTATCTATTACAAAATATTATATGCATTTTAAACTATATATAGTTGATATATATAACATATAATCTATATGGTAGTTTATATATAAATAACAAACTATATAGTAGTTTATATATAAATAACAAACTATATGGTAGTTTATATATAAATAACATAAACTATATGATAGTTTATATATAAATAACATATAAACTATATGATACTTTATATACTATATATAGCTATGTTATATATATAAATTACATATATGAGAGAGAAGTATTTTAAAATAACATGTTTTAAAGCATGTTTTTTAAAATTTCTTCCTTCCCTCCTTTCTTTCTTCCTTTTCTTTCTTCTTTTTCTTTCTTTCCTCAAATACTTCCTATCCATAATATATATTTAACAGTCATTAATTCTGATACTGCAATGTGGATGATATGTAAAAGTCAGCCTGTTACCAAGATGGGGGGAGTTTGCTGTAAGCAGAGGTTGTGTGACCGGCCTGAGCTCTTACAAAGTGCATATCTTCGACCCTACCCACCCTCTCTCCACCAAAATTATACCGAAGTGAGAGGAAATGACCTCCTTTTATTAACTCTTCCCAAGTTGCAAGTTCCAATATTTCTTTCATCTTTCAGCGATGTTCGTTTTATTTTGGCAGGATCTAAGCCTCACAAAAACGTCAAAATAGAACCAATCTTGTCGGCAACAGTAAGAGGGTGATATAGGTCCCTTCAAATTAGCTGCCTTCAGTTTACTCAGAAGAATGCCAGGGGCATAGGGGTAGTTGACAGCACACGGTTTTTGTTCCCGGAGTTTGGAGTATTGCATTTCCCATCCTTCCTACGGGATGCCAGGCTGGTCTACACACTAGGCATTCTCATGCTGTTTATGTCAACTAATGCTAATGGCAGCTTTAGAATGGACGTCTTTGAGAGGTACACTTGGAGGAAAATTACTACCTTCAAGTATGAACGAAATCAAGACTACATGAGGGATGGGTGTTCTCATGTTTTAATAGTTAGCCAGTCTGTGACTCCCATCCAAAGCACGTGACGTTGTGGAAAGGGCTGCCCATGTTTTGTAGGACATCTCAGGAAACTCATTTTTTAGATCCCAAATTTATTTTAAGATTAATAATTATTAAGTGCACAGATTATAAAAATTATGCTACCACGGTAGTGTTTCCTTTTAAAAGTGTAAAACCAAACACGAATAAAAATAACTGTGTGTATACTACAATTTGAAAACTGCAAAAGTACTTCCTGTGCCCACTACCAAATGTCTGTCCTGCCCCCCGCCCTCCGTGGGCACCACTGTGCAAGCACACACACTTCCCTGGTCAACTGAGAACAAGCTGCACAACTGCCCAGCTCGCCGCAGTTTTTATTACATTCTTGGGAACAGCCGAATGTCTCTCCTGCCCCCCGCCCTCCGTGGACACCACTGTGCAAGCACACACACTTCCCTGGTCAACTGAGAACCAGCTGCACAACTGCCCAGCTCGCCACAGTTTTTATTACATTCTTGGGAAGAGCTACTGGGAATGTGATCATACATATACAGTTCCCTGTCAAAATTGTATTTTTGAACAGAGATAAAAATCAGTACCATATAAAAATAAGAGGAAGAACATATTCCAGCCATGAGGAAAAATACAGTGGCTACTACTGAGATTCAGATATTGGGCAGAATTCAGCTCTAAGCCCCTTGTGTTGGGATAATGGTGAATCAGGTTAACAACTAAAAGTGACTCATACTCTACGTTGTTTTTCTTTAAACGCAAATATAAATATCTCCTTCATAAAGGGATGAGGTAAACAGGATCACTAGAGACAGATATTTACTTTTATTATTGATTAAATAACTCTATATAAACATATCACACACATTAATATTTCCAGAGTAATAATTGTTTTTCATGTATAAATATATAATTTTATTTAATATTTAGATTTTATTCTTTTCTCTGAATTCATTATATACTACAAAAGTTATGGCATCTCAATGTAAACACAGATGCAGAAGAAAAGAGTTCTAATACCTTTATTACCTAAGAAGATAAAATATCATAGATGTGTGGAATTAAAAGAAAATTATCAAAGTCCACGTTACCAAAATGATGTAGTTGAAAGATTAATGACATATTAATTGAAATCCAACTGCTGAAACTACATACATTCTTCATAATTCACCTTGTTGGCAAGAAATCCCCCCTTTCAATGTTTCAGAGGGGAAAATAAAAAAAGGAAAAAAAAAACTGACATCAAATGATTATGAATTTTTGTCATGGCAGTCGATGAGCTGAATCACTTTCTATTATTTAAAAAGCTTTGAAATAGTCGTATTTATGTGCATGGTATAGAATAAACATAGAATACAAGTGTATAGAATAAGAAGCTTAACCGATTCTTCTGGGAAAACCTCTCAGTAACCTTGACCAGAAGTGAATTTAAACCTATCTGACAGGAGTGTTTACAGGCAGCCAACATAACAGGGACACCAGCCATAGCTCCAGGACAGAGTCCAGGGCCCCCACCCTGCAGCCATTAGCCCCCTGGTTTCTCCACTGCTGGAAGGTTCGATGACCTGCAGAAGGTGTCTAGGGAGTTTGTAGGGCTCCGGGTAGTGGATATGAGTTAACTGGTAAAAGAGGGTTCTTTTTTATTTTAACAGCTGACAGAACTGTGCTGGTGCCCACCCCTGAGTACCAACCCTGATCAAATGAGCATACCTCACTGCCATGCAGTTTCCTTCTATTTAAAATGCCAGTGGCTGAGCTGGATAAACTGCAATGTTATGCCCCTGTCTAATATTTGAGTCCCCTGAGTCTAAGATCTTAGACACTTACTATCTACATTTTCCTAGAATTTCCGTTGATGAATGAGTGGATCATGGAGACCCATAGTTCACTGGGCCAGCATGAGTACTAGGCTCACTGAATCCAGGTAAGACCAGAGCACTGACTGCAACAGACAAGTGGTGAAATTTAAGGGTAACTTTGTTGGGAAAGGAGTAGATGACATAAAGAAGGCAAAATAGAAAAGTCAAATAAAATGAAGAAAAAAACAATTAAGGTAGCACAGAGGAAAAAAAAAATTCCCAAACCTTATGACTATTGCATTTCTTCAGTAGATATGTTAATGTCCATAGAATATTCCGGAATGAGTTACAGTTAGAATCAGGCCAAAATAATATATGCAAGATATATTAGAATTGTTTGTATAGCACTCCACATAAAATATAGTAGAAGATTATTAAGATAGTCTGATTGATTAATTGAATATTACACATATAAGACAAACAAAAAAACTTCATGGTACTCATGGGATAAAATGCTTAAATCACAGAAAATCTTTAGCACAGAATGAGGCAAAATTAGTGTTGGTGCCTGTGAGTGTGTGTGTGTGAGTGTGTGTGCATGTGTGTGCGTGTGTTTGTGTGTATGTGTGTGTTTGTGTTTGAAAGCACCTGCTATAGTGCTGTAAGTACTTCTCTAACAAAACTTTTTAACTCTTAATTTCTCCGCTATTTTTGTAAGGGATTTTACTTTCTAAACAGCAACATTTTAAACATAATAGCATTTGAAGAAGAGCTACCTAACTAATATGTTTGATGAGCAAAACATTTTTAAAAATAAATCAGTTTGTTTCCTCTTAGATCTATGAAGCTCTACAGGATGATCAATTTTATAAATAATGCCACAGAGGAAACAGTTTTCAAAGCCCATTTCGACTGAGAAAAATTAATTACTTAATTTTTGATATAATATTTACTTGTGAACTTATCTTCCAGTTTAGCTGCTAAAGATATTAAATTGCTCCCACATATCGCTAAAGGATAAAAGCTTTGCTGACAGAAATGGGAACCATTATCCCTGCAGTGTGGAGTGCTACAAGGACCCAATATGATTAAATGTACATCATAAATGATGAGTGAAGAGACATTATTTAACAAAGTATATTGGAAGAACTGAATAGAAAGTTTTAAAATATCAACTTAAAAATTCCCTCATACAAAATACCTGTTACACAAATTAAAATGTTTGAATGTATTAAATAATGGGTAACTTGTTACATTAAAATATAATATATGGTCTCAAATTAAGCATTATCTCAACTAAACAGAAACTGTGAATGTTACGGAAGCAAAAATAACTTTATAAGTAAACCAATCTACCTGTTTAATTTTTTCAAAATAAATGTATAAAAATAAAAACAACACAATAAAAAAATATTTGCAACAACACAGCAGGGGGATATTATTTATACTTACTTGCTTTGTATTTTAAGAAACAAGATACAGGCTTGGCGCGGTGGCTGATGCCTGTAGTCCCAACACTTTGGGAGCCCTAGGAGGGTGGATCACGAGGTCAGGAGATCGAGACCATCCTGGCTAACATGGTGAAACCCCCTCTCTACTAAAAACACATAAAAGTAGCTGGGTGTGGTGACGGGCACTTGTAATCCCAGCTACTCGCGAGGCTGAGGCAGGAGAATGGTGTGAACCTGGGAGGTGGAGCTTGCAGTGAGCAGAGATTGCCCTACTGCACTCCAGCCTGGGCGACACAGCAAGACACTGTCTCAATAAACAAACAAACAAAAAAACAAACAAATAAATAAATAAATAAATAGATAAGTAAATAACAAGACACAAACAGATACATGGGAAAAAAAGATTTTAAATGGCAATTTAAATAAGAGTGAATTCTAGAACAAACCAAAATTAAAAACAAACACAGGTGAAGTTTCAATCTTTCTTATTATGATAGGCATTCAAATTAAAACAACACTGAAATGCCTTCTAATATACATTAAAAAGATAAATTCTGAAAATACATAAATACGAAGAGTAAAACTGATCTAGTTGTATGTTCCTAATATCAACATGCATTAACACAGTGCTTCAGGCGATTTACCAACACAGGCGAGTGACACTGAGAGGGCTCATATACGCCGGCAAATTACTCAACTTAGGGTCTGATGTCTACTGAGTATATTGTACGTGTCTGATATTCTACCAAGGTCATTATGTGAACTATTTAATCACATCCAAAACGTGTGATAAAATGTTTGTTTTTGTTCCTCTTTCACAGCTACCAAAAGAGAAATGTTTTTCATTTTTTTAGAAAACAGAACAAAACAAAAAAACCATCAACTGGAAAACATTCAGAGACTCAGAAAATATATGATCAACTAAATAAAATTAAAATTAATCACCATAAATACTCTATAGTAAAACAGAAAAAAGGGTATAATGTCTGATCTGTGAAAAAGCAGAACAAATTTATCTACGTTAAGCTGTATACATATGTATATTTCAAGTTAACTATAAAGACTAAGAAATATAAACATTTTAATATAATTGTGGTATTATAGTAATATAATTGTTATGAGGGATTTAAAAACTCCTTCAATCTTTTGTCAAGAAATAGTTTAACATCTAAAAAACATCCCAGTAACATTCATGAATAATGAATGAAACTTGGGAATTCTTAATCATAGTACGTGTAGAACTTTATGTGTTTCTGAGAGAGTATATCCACAAACAATATATTTAAAACATATTAGAGATGCTGTTGTTTTTGTTTTAAAATAAATTCTGCCATGAATCTTTTTTTTTTTTTTAAAGGAAAGGCTATTTTATAGTAAAATAAAATGGCCTAATTTATCTATTATATATCTGGATTTTTGTGTTATATTCAGCAACAATGAAAACATAAAAATGAAGTAGTATTTTTAGCAACCTAATTTGGTATTATAAACAAAACATATTTATTTGGGATTTTCCTTCTTTCCTTCATTTTACTATTCTACAATATATTTTAGATTTCAATAAATTTGTGTATGAAATAGTCACTTTCTTAAAAAGATTCAGCTGGTTAGGTTACAAAGTTGACCTGGATGAGATTGGTGACTATTATTCTTTATTCTTTTTTTGTTTTGTTTTGTTTTTGAGATGGCGTCTCACTCTGTTGCCCAGGCTGGAGTGCAGTGGCGCGATCTTGGCTCACTGTAAGCTCCGCCTCCCGGGTTCACGCCATTCTCCTGCCTCAGCCTCCCGAGTAGCTGGGACTACAGGCGCCCGCCACCATGCCCAGCTAATTTTTTGTATTTTTAGTAGAGACAGGGTTTCACCGTGTTAGCCAGGATGGTCTCAATCTCCTGACCTCGTGATCTGCCAGCCTCAGCCTCCCTAGTGACTCTTATTCTAAGTGAAGTACTGAGGAATGGAAAACCAAACATCCTATGTTCTCACTGATGTGTGGGAGCCAAGCTATGAGGATGCAAAGGAATAGGAATGATATAATGGACTTTGGAGATTTGGGGGGAAGAGTGGGAGTGGGGAAAGGGGATAAAAGACAACATATATGATGCAGTGCATACTGCACAGGTGGTGGGTGCACCATCTCAGAAATCACCACTGAAGAACTTACTTATGTAACCAAACACCATCTACACCCCAATAACTTATAGAAAATAAAATAAAATAATAAAAAAAGTTTCAAGCCTACAGACATTCATTGTACTTGCAGAAAACGTAATGCAGGGGCGGGTCCGGCTCCTTGAACAGACACACGTGGCCGGGTGGTCACTCCCTCTGCAACCAATTAGACACAGACAAGTGCTTTGCAGGGCCACTGTCTCAACATGGTGGCCGACATGAACACTGAATTATCTCCAGTTTCAAATCATGTGGCGATACACTTGCCTTTCTCAACGAATTGGCTCATTCTTTATTTTCTGAATTGTCTTTTATTGTGTAAGGACGTTCCACATGGTATTATAAGGTTTGCAGTCATAAATTCACTCTCAATTGAGAGAACATAGGGTGTCTCCCATGGATACTATATTTGGTGCTTTCTTCCCACTTCAAACAACAGAAGAACTTTCAAGACTCCCTCATTTGATTTGTTTCAGCTAAATATGTGGAAGTGAGTTATTGTATACAAGCAAACATTAACATCAGAATAATTAGTGTCAGAATCTCATTTGCACTTGGCATTAACAGACCCCGGATTGCTAGCATAAGCACTGTCTTTTAATTCCCTGGTCCCCATGAACAGGAGCTGGCTGCCAAAATCACTGGGAATTGGCTTAGAAGTTGACTTTGCAGAACCATGCATTTATGTTAATTAATTTATTCATTCAATACATACGAAAACTAATTCTCTACTAGAATGAGCAGAGAAGGGTTTTCTGAAAACACAATATTTAGGACAGATTTGAAAAAAAGGAACTATTCAAGGAATGAGCTGGAGGAAGAGCATTCCCAACAGATGCAACAGAAAGCACCATGTCCGAGGAGACTTGATATTCACATATCAACCACAGATGATTTATGTACTGCAAATTCCCCATGACATTTTTGGGTGCATTCTCATGCAGTTGCTGAGAATTCCGGGACAGAAATATATTGACTTTGTGCGCAGGAGTAAGGATCATTCACCCACAGGATCATGACTCTGGAATAAACAAAAAATGAAAAGCATTTGGGAGGCTGAGATGGATGGATCACCTGAGGTCAGCAGTTTGAGGCCAGCCTGGCCAACATGGTGAAACCCTGTCTCTACTAAAAATACAAAAAATAGCTGGGTGTGGTGGTCCATGCCTGTAATTCCAGCTTCTTGGGAGGCTGAGGCCGAAGAATCGCTTGAACTTGGGAGGCAGAGGTTGCAGTGAGCCAAGATCACCCCACTGCACTTGGCCTGAGCGACAGAGTGAGGCCTTGCCTCAGAATAAATAAATAAATAAATAATGGCAATATTCTTGGGATGTTAGTTTTATTTATAATTGATCCTTCCCCTTGTCAAATCCATAGGTAAGCAAGAGAGGGAACAGCACTTGTTTATGTCCTTTTCCTTTTAATCTGCACATGCAGATGGCAATGTCAGAATATCTGATTTCTATAAAATGAAGTCCAGACTGGAACCAGAAGGAACTCACCACTATTTATTACGGCTTATATCACCATTCATATTTCTTTTGTCGCTGAGAGAATCCAGGACTTTTCCTATTTTTTTTTTTTTTTTTTTTTTGAGATGGAGACTCACTCTGTTGCCCAGGCTGGAGTGCAGTGGCGTGATCTCGGCTCACTGCAAGCTCCGCCTCCTGGGTTCAAGCGATTCTCCTGCTTCAGACTCACGAGTAGCTGGGACTACAGGCACACACCACCACACCCGGCTAATTTTTGTGTGTATGTGTGTATTTTTAGTAGAGACGGGGTTTCACCGTGTTAGCCAGGATGGTCTCGATCTCCTCACTTCGTGATCCAGCCACCTCGGCCTCCCAAAGTTTTGGTATTACAGGTGTCAGCCACCGAGCCTGGCCACGACTTTTACTATTTCTCAGTGAAATCAAGCACTGATGCCCACTTTCATAGAACATGCCTTCTATATATTTTCTATTCAAAGCTGTGAACTACTCAAATCACCACTCATAATAAAACCAAAGCTTACCAGGCCCTGAAAGGCATTATGTGAGCTGGAATGTTGGCTTCTTCTGTTCCTCATCCTCCACCTCCTTTGGCTCCCATTTCCTCTTTTCCTCACTGGGTCTAGCCACACTGCTTCCTGGGGCCAGGGCACCTATGTTCCTGCCCTAAGGCCTTTGCAATGACCACCTGCCTGAGAAGCACATCTCCCTGTCTGACTTCAGAGCCCCTCACAAGGCACTTTCCTGCCCGCCCTCTCTGGCCACCATATTTAAACTAGCACTCACCTAGATTGCTTCCCACCTCTCCATCCTGTATGCTTACCTCTCGGTGCGTGCTGAGTGCAAAGCAATGGAATGCAAGCTTTATGAGCCTGTTCTTGCACTTGCGTGCACCTGTTCCTAGGAGGCGGCCTGATAGAAGTATTCTTTCTTCCTCTTTTTTTTTTTCATGCAATGAATGAAAATTGAATGACTCTGGCTTTCCTACAGTTATATCAGTTGCAAACAAGCCTCTATTCATTTGTCTTTAACAAGTGTTGGGACTATGACAAAATATATTTAGGGGGCTATGCACGGAATCAAACCATATCCTCTCTAAGAATAGAAGAAGAAAAGTTTATTTAGTTATAGAGATCTGTGGCTTTCTTAAGAATGAGTGTTAAAAAAAAGTAGTCTATAAAAACTGCCTCAAGAACTCTTAATAGAGCGAAATTTCAGATAAAAATTAATTACCAAAAAGAACGATTCATAATTGTAGCAATCCATAAGAGGTTTATTTGTGTGTTTTTGCTTTGCTTGTTTTCAGCAAGCAGGAAAACCACAAGTCCAGGAGGTTTTTTCTTTGTTTTTAAACTCACCAGAGCTGCATGAAATAAAGTCAAGGCAGGTAGAGAAAACAAAATAGTCACAGCAAAACATTTTAAAAGGACAAATATGAGCAAGCTACAGGGCAGCTGGAAAAATTAGTTCAAGTTCCATCAAGTTCAAGTTTAACTTAAAAACCACATATAAAATATGAAATGTATTAAAATATGTAATTATTAAAACAAATATAGTTATTCTGTTCAATTTTTAGGTGATCTATTAATATAATGGAAGCTCCTTTTATTCCATGGATACTAATAAGCATGAAAATATATCAAAGTTTTCAGACACTAATATGTATTATATAATTTTTTTTTATTTGGAATCTGAAATTTGGTGACAGAATTAAATAAATGCTATTTAAAATTTCAGCTCTCCCTTGTTTACACATGATGCAGAACAAAACTTGAAGTTATTGTTGAAAGTTACAGATAAATACTTGATTGTTAAAGTTAGCACACAACACATGATTCAGTATTTTCTTTCTTTTTTTCTTTTTTTTTTTTTTTTTTTTTTTTTTTTGAGACAGGGTCTCGCTCTGTCGCCCAGGCTGGAGTGCAGTGGTGCGATCTCAGGTAACTGCAAGCTCCCCATCCCGGGTTCACATCATTCTCCTGCCTCAGCCTCCTGAGTAGCTGGGAATACAGGCATCCGGCACCACGCCTGGCTAATTTTTTGTGTTTTTGGTAGAGACGGGATTTCAATGTGTTAGCCAGGATGGTCTCGATCTCCTGACCTCCTGATCCGTCCGCCTCGGCCTCCCAAAGTGCTGGGATTACAGGCGTGAGCCACCGCGCCCAGTCTGATTCAGTATTTTCTAAATTGTGCTCCTATGATTTCCATGCCAAAGAGTTAATGTTTACAAACAGCAAAATCGTCAGTGGGTAGGTTTTGTGCCCATACCGAATTTCCATCAGAGTAATTATTTTTAAAAATATTTTTCCTTTATTGAGTTATCATAAAATTCTGCATTTGAAGAAAATGTTGTGCAGTTAAAAAATGGTTGAACACCACTGACTTAATCCAAGAAGAACATAAGGCATTTAAGGAAAGATGCATTTGAATCTATTTATTTCTGTAGGTTGGGAAAATAATTCTAAATGTAAGTGCAAATCAGAATGAACTGATTTCTATTTCCTCCCAAGTAATTTCAGACTTTTTAAAAAAGTGTATTTCTCAACTCTAGAATTTTTGTGCCCCTTTTGTGGGTATAAAACTTGCTGGAAATCTATCTTACGGACATAATTTAAAATACAGAATAGAACATTACTTAGAAGCAAACTGCCATGTTTATCATAAAGAAAAATTGAAATAATCTAAATATTCAACAGCGGATACATCATTAAATAAGCTATGATACATTCAAACCATAGGGTCATCAAATGTGTTTACCAAGCATTTATAATATTCCTTCAGTGAATTTCTAAGTCATGATGTTAAATTTAAAAATGCAGGTTATACAGTTGGATGTGTAATTCCAACTCAATTTTTACAATTGCATGGGGAAATATCCAGGAAAGAAATAAGAAATACACCCACATATGTAATATAATAGCTTGTAATACTGGGAGATATTATTGAGGAAGGAAGGGCCACAAAGAGTTGGTGGTCAGGATGTACCTACCTCCACAGGCGCTCACTCCTCCAGGAGCCAGAATGAAAGGAACCCAGAGACAT
The DNA here is from genome assembly GCF_000001405.40 of Homo sapiens. NCBI lineage: Eukaryota > Metazoa > Chordata > Mammalia > Primates > Hominidae > Homo > Homo sapiens. The sequence continues at coordinate 4,009,784 of NC_000008.11, forward strand.
GGACCATTCCTGCTCCATCCCCCTCCCTCCTGTTCTCAGAGAGTCAACCCCACTTACTTCATGCCTGAGGCCATTAAGAGGGTACTCTCGTACATCCTTTGTCTTCCTTTACAACAGTCCCTGCAAAAAGCCCTGGTCTCCTCTGTCGCCCTTTATCCCTCCAACTCTCATCCTCTAAAAGATCTACACATCTTATTTTCTGACCCCCTAATCTTAATTCTTCCTATGCTCCTGAATGTCTCCTACTACTTCCTCGAAAACTGAAAGTCAATTATAAACAGAATTTCCTACATTCCAACTACTTCTGACATATTTTCCTTCCCTTCTTCCTCTGATGGAAACCTGAATGTCTTCTCTGAAGTCATCTCAGTAGCCAATGTTTTACATCTGTAGTCCACGTACACTGGTCCTGCTGGCAGACTGTGCCCACCCACATGCATCTCATGGCTACTTCCAGGTGACTCATGGTCTTCCCTCCCTCATGTGCCCAGCTTTGAGTCTCTTGCCATAATAATCTGGCACCCTCTGCCTTGTAGTCATCTACAAACCCCTACTTGAAATCCACTATTCCAAGAAGATTTAAACTTCGGGCCCTCTGTCAGCCTCTTCACCTCTACCTCTGCACAAATTCTCGGTCATTTCAATGTCAACACAGGTAATCCTGGGAAAAACATAACCTCTTTGATTAATTCTCCCCTCTCTTCCAACAGCCCAACTCTACCTCAGCCATGCCATCACCATTCCCATCATCACCCTCTATCTTCTCACTACCAGTAAGGCATCAGTTTCTACAGCTGCAGTCTGACTACATTCTGAGCCCAACTCTCCATACCAGGTCACTTACCCAAACACCTAAACTCATAATTTTTTGACTCATGGGACCTAGAGTTCCCTGACTCTGCCTCCCCTTCACTTTCTTTTCCTTGTCCCTATCATGTCCTCATCTCTTGTCTTACCATCCTTAGGGCTCATGGCCTAATGCACTTCCTTGCATTTACCATAACTCTGCCATCATCACAGTAAAACACCTTTGGTTCCAGTCTAGGCCAAGTCCACTTTTATATCCTTGCAGGTAAAACAGCTGGAGGAATTCCAAAACCAAAAACATACTGAAAGGTCTAACTTTACATATATGGCCATAATCCTACATTGGCCCATAATGATGCCCAGCAATCCCGCTTCACTTTCTGTATCTGTTCACTGCTCCCTTTCTGGGGGATGACTGTTTCATGCCTTCTTCCTTCTAAAGCTGCCAGCATCTCTTGCCAAATCCTCACTGCCACCTGATGACTTTGGTTTCCATTTCACAAAGAAAATAGAAGCAATGAAAGATAAATTATGTAATCTATAACCTTCAATTTTGATGCCTACTTATAAAATATCTTTCCTGCAAATATTTCTACCTAGTGGGTACACCTGTTTGTGTTCTACCTTTCCTCTCTGATCAAGTTTTTAAGCCACGACTTTACCAGTTTTCTTCTCTTTCAAAACGACTATTTGTGTTTTTAGTGGAGAATTGCTCTCTGCATATAACCGTGCTCCAATTGCCCCCATTCAAAAACAATGTTATAGACTTTTCTTTTGATTCCATGTCTGCTTCCAGACTCCACATTCCCCTCTAGCCTTACTTTCTGAAATTCCTTTCACTGCAACACGTCTCAAAGATGTCCACATTTGCGGTCTTTAACCTTGTTACATCCTCTCTTGAACCCACTTGAGTCAGAGTTTCACCCTCCTGGGTTTCCTGCAGAAGGCCCACATGTCAGCCACAGCCAGAAATCCAAGAGTCAGTTCCTAGGATTCATCTCACTCAAGATCTCAGTGACATTTAACATTCATCCATTTCCTCATCCTTGAATTCTTTTCATTCCTACACTTCCTAAATTTTTAAACTACGAAATAATTAGAAAGTCACAAGAACTTGCAAAATAGTACGGAGTTATCAGCATACTTTTTTCTCATTTTCTCCCAGTGGTTACATCTTATACAAGTGTAGTATAATATTAAAACCAAATAAAAATTACACTGGAATAATATGTGCACAGTCATCTTTGGTATCCATTGGGAATTGGTTCCAGGATCCACAATGCTCAAGTCCCTTATATAAAATGGAATTTTATTTGCATATAACTTATACACATCTTCCCATATACTTTAAATCATCTCTCCATTATTTATAATACCAAATATAAATGTCACAGAAATGGCTGTTATACTGTATTGTTTAGGTAATAATGACAAGGAAAAAAAAAGTCAGTACATGGTCGGTACAGATGCAGCCATCATATGCCTAGCTATATTGTAGACATAGCCACAATGAAACATTTTCTAGATTTAAAATATATATATATTTTTCATCCACATTTCATTGAAACTGGATGCAGAACCCACCAGTAAACAGGGCTGACTGTATATGATTCTATGCCGTTTTACTCACTCGTCTCTTTAGATACTACTCTTCAGGCTTTCTCTAATCTTATTGGCCAGTTCTTCTGAGTCATCATGCCAGTTTCATTTCATCTTCCAATCCTTGGTAGGGTGTCCAAGATTCATTCTCTTCACCTCTTCTCTTCCTAAATACATTCATTCATTGCCTTGTTGATCTCATCCAGTTTGCGTCGCGTGGATTTATTTTTATGTTTTATTCTTAACTTTTATTTTTGTTTCAGGGGTACACATGCAGGTTTGTTACTTGCATAAATCTTGTGTTTCGAGGTGTGGTGTATGCATGATCCCTACACCCAGGTAGTGATCACAGCACCTGGCAGGTAGTTATTCAACCGTCACCACCTCCTTCCTCCCCTCAGTAGGCCTCAGTGACTATGTCATCTGTATGTCTACAGTTTTCAGAGTGTCCATCAGTTCCATGAATGTCTCCTGAATTCCAGCTTTATGTATCCAACTCCCTATTTCAACTCCATAGAATGTCTAAATAGCAATCCAGACTAACTAGCCCTAAAATGGTTCTTTTGCTCTTTCCATTTTCAAATCTGCAATCTCACAGTCTTCTCCATCTCAATAAACGGTAACTCCATTCTTCCAGTGTTGCACGAGAAGACACACGGTGCCATCCATGACTCTTCTATGTCTCTCATGTGTCACAACCACTGTGTAGGGAAATTCCATCAGCACCTTCTTTAAACAGCATTCTGAGTCCAAATGTGTCTGGCCATCTCCTCTGCTCCTGTCATCTCTCAAGTAACAACACCTCTCATTTTCATTTTGCAATGATTTTCTAATAGGTTTTTTATTTTTTCCCTTCTCAGCTTATGTTCTTTTCTCATAAGTAGCCAGAGTAATCCTCTCAAATGCTGTGTCACACGATGTCGTTTTTCTTCTCGTATCCCCCCATTGTGCTCCCACACTGCTCAGTATAGAGGTTAAAGTCCAAAGGCTGATCTACAGGGCCCACTCCTATCCTCTGGGATCCTCCGGGACCTTTCCCCTCTCCTATCCTCTGACTGTCTCTCCTACAACCCTCCAATTATCCCATCTGCTCAGGCCACACTGCCGTTGCTCTATTCTTCGTTCACTCACCGTACGCTGTTGTCTCAAGGCCAAACACCTGGTTGATCCCTCTGTCAGAACCACATTTCTGATATTCTCGCAGGGCTCACTCTGTCCCGTTCATTAGAGGTCCAAATATTCCGGTTTTCTACTATCAGGGGGGTTTCCAGGACATGGGATCTTAGGTGATAAGACCAGGAGAGTCCTGTCCAGGCAGTGACCAGGCAGATGGTCACCATAGCTCTTAATTACATGTCAGCTTCTCAGTGAGAACACTTACAAACACTTATTTCAACAGGACAGCAAAGTTTATCTGTTGCTTCTCATTTGCTTATTTATGTTATCTATCTCCACCCATTAAAATGATATTTCTGCAAAGATTGGAATTCTTTCTTGTTTTGTTCATATTGTAGCCCCAGCAGCTACAACAAATGTTGGCGAACTATAGCTTGTGGGTTACATTCAGTCCAGTATCTGGTTTTATACATTAGGCTTTACTGAAACACAGCCAGTCTATCTGTTTAGGTGGTGTCTATGGGGTCTTTTGATCTACAGTGACAGACAAGGGTAGCTAAAACAGAGATCATATGACATGAAAACAAAATATTTGCTATCTGGCCTTTGACAAAAAATGTTTACCAGCCCTGATTGATAAGTGTATGTAATACTTTGCAGGTCCTCAATAAACGTTCCTTGGAAGAAAGAATTAACACACGTAAATACTGAAAGGACATACGGAGAAATATTGATGTGTATTGGAAATCAAAGGCAATAAAAACAACTTTTGAGCATCATTTCAATGCCCTCAAACTCAGCAAATTAAAAAGAAATGCAAGTATCAAAAGTTATATTAATTGTGGTGAACTGTCATAACATTAGAAATGCATTCATTAAGTTTGCAAAGCATAAACAACATTCCTAGAAATCTTTCCTTAGGAAAAAAATCTAACAGAAGCAACAAACACAGTGCTATATGTACAGAGACACTAATTATGGCATTGCGTGTCGAAGTGAACATGGGAAACATTCATCACATTCAATTATAGAGAGAAAATAATCTGTAAAATATTGAGAATCAAATTATGTCAATGCACATAGAAGTGTGTATGATTTAACACTAATCTTCTCCAGGAGAATATAAATGTTCTCTGTTCTGTGACTTCAGCCTCTAAGAAGCTTTTTAGACATTGAGTTGGCTTCTTTTGATGTCTGTTCCCCCTTACTCTTCAAGGACTACTATGCGATCCTAATAGCCGTTATTGGTATTAAGCACCTGGATCATCTCATCTAATCTTTATCACTCCTGTGAGATTAAAAGTAATATTAGCCCAACTTAACAAATTCAGAGCCTGGGTCTTAGCAAGAAAAGAGCTCGTCTGAGCTGTGCCAACTTGTGATGAGGCTGGAGCTAGAATGACAAAGTCCTTGCTGGTAAACACTTCGCATGACTGCCCATCACAAAGAAGGGCATTTACCTGGGCATGGATTCATTCTGGCACTAGACACATTCATCTTTACAGCTCTATAACCTAACATGGTATCTGCATGGAATAAAATAATTTTAGAAATACTACAAAGTAACCCACAAAGCTGAAAATAATGGGCAGAGCCACTTCTGATTATTTTTTAAGCCTGTTACAAGATTGTATGGGATGAGATAACGTGAATGACGTGCTTGGCAGAAAATGTAGCACAGCAAATATGCAAACCACGTAGACCAGGTTTACTAGAATCTAAGACTGATTTTTTTGAACAGTTTTAATTTTGATACGATTTACACTGGAATTGTTTATTGCAAAGTATGCAAGAAAGGTGCTTAAAACCAAATTGTCTAAAACTACTCAAAAAATTGAAAGCTAGGTTTCTTATATAAAAACTGTCCCATTCAGTCTTACTTTGTATTTCTTGTCCTGACGTGACAGATCATTTAAGATTCATTTTACAATGTTACCGCTGAAACATAATTGATAAAAACACAGCTGTGTTTTAAATATCGCAGAATTTATAGGCACCCATAAAAAGCATGACTTCTCTTCCTTCTCCCCTCTGGCTATGTCGTTCCTAGTTTTCCTGCCTTTTCATCTCTAGTAGCAGAATGCCTATGATTAAAAAACCTCGACTGACAGTTCATATAGAATTGGCAAGTGACATATTGCCATTTCCAGTCACATTACGTAAGGCTTAACAATTAAAGAAAACCACAGCTTCAGATAGGTCTAAAAGCAACAATGGGCCTACACTATTTAGCATGTTTTATTAAAGGTATCAGTGCTACTGCTATGTTATTTAGTGGCATCTTGGCCCAATGACTATCATTCAGTCTCCAAGAAATACAACAGTCTCAAAATAGATAAAAATCAGTTTGAATCTTAAAAAAAAAAAAAAAAAAAAAACTCAAGACAGCTGCTACATCCCATTTTATCTAAAACTGTTGAAAAATACTGACAATGTGTTTTGACATGTTTAGGTGAATACTTATCTTAAATGTATGTGTTCAGACAAAAACAAGGGTGAAACTTCATTCACTAAGCAAGCGGCGTAACTTCCCAATAATGGTTCGTATGCTGCCGTTTTCTATGGTTTACATCTCATGCTTCCAAGCAAAACAGAAACAAACAAATGGCAACAAACAACAAAATGTCTCTTCAACTGCCCCCAAGAAGGTTGCCGTTGGAGGGAAATGTAGAAAAGCACCAAGTCAGAGCTGGCCTTATCAGCCACTGTCTTTCAGCCTTGGACATGACATCTAAGCTCTCAGAGAATGTGATTCCATATCTGGAAAATCTACCCATTAATATTTACCAGGAAATTTTGGGATGGGATCATATAAAAGTTCATATAAAACATTTTAGATAGGATTGCATAAAAGCATTGAACGTTCATAACGTAACACTTGCCAGAGAGGTTTAGTCTAAGTAAAATATTTAGTCATGTGATCTCTCCATTCCCTTTGCTTTCCTGCTTGAGTAATTCATAGGTACCTAAAAAGATTCCAGTAGATGGAAATAGAAAATAAATGGGGAATAATTAACTACTGACCAACTGACTCTCAGACATTTTGCAATCTCCTCTTGCCTGAATTGGCTTCCCGAGATGATCGAGCCAGTGGCAGAGAAGATGCATGACCCTGCAGCTGCACTGAGCCTGTCTCTTAGACGTCTCCAGGTCTCAGGCCTCTGCCCAAGAATGCAAGCTTCCTGGAGGACAAGGAGGTCCAAGGTTTTAGTGAAGGATCTGGGGCTATGAGAAGGAAAGAGGAGAAAAGATGAAGATTCACTTAGTCCTCAATCCTAAAAAGCCTTTCCCCAGATGAGGAAAATTATTTGGGTGAAGAGATGACTCTTTGCTTTGTCTTCTACAGGTTTGTCTTACTCTGTAAAGCAAGAGCTTCAGCAAAATAGATTTAGCCTTTAAGTAACATGTTAGGAAGACCCTATAGCCAAACCACCCTCTTGGGTTAAGGGCTCTGTTGACCTAAGTTTATGTGTATAGTTGGGTTTTTTTGGTCGTTGTTTTATTTGACATCCATGAGGTTGTTGGAAGTCATGTCTATCAAAGACCAAGAACAGCAGTTTTAGTTGGGTATGGTTCACAATCCTGAAAAACACAATCCCAAATGCCATAATCCCAATTGTTGAAATCTCAAAAGATGAAACTCCTTAAAGTCAAAATCCCTAATGTCTAAAACCCTGAAATCACAATAACAGAAATCATAGAAGACTTTCAGAAGGAAGAGCCACATCATAAAGGAACAAAAGCAGATATTCATCCGGAGGCAAGACTTCAGAATGTACTCAGTGACCGCGGTGTTCAGCCAGCCTTGCTGGACGCTCTCCATGCAATTGTACATATCTACCCCTGCAATACACTTTTGTGTATGTTGAAGCTTCCTTCTAGATATCTTTTTTTAAAGTTTTTTCTACTATTTTAAATTGTCAGCACTATTTTTTTCACAATTCAAGGCTATGCAATTCATCTTCTCATCATTTCTAATATCAAATGCCACATAATTTCTTTCTTTTTAGGGGAGGGAGGACAAAGTTTCGCTCTTGTTGCCCAGGCTGGAGTGCAATGGTGCGATCTTGGCTCACTACAACCTCCGCCTCCCGGGTTCAATCGATTCTCCTGCCTCACTCTTCCTGAGTAGCTAGGATTACAGGCATGCACCAGCATTCCCAGCTAATTTTGTTTTTTTAGTAGAGACGGGGTTTCTCCATGTTGGTCAGGCTGGTCTCGAACTCCCGATCTCAGATGATCCACCCACCTTGGTCTCCCAAAGTGCTGGAATTACAGGCGTGAGCCACCGTGCCCAGCTGCCACCTCGTTTATAACTCTAAATTGTGTAGAAAATATTAGAGAGTTCTAATTAAGAATTTTTTTTTTCAAATTCGACTTCAAAAACTGCATGGTCACAGGATTGACTTTGTGCCTCGGCATTGTGTGTGCATGGTACAAATGCTGAAACTTCCTAAATAAATGAAGAGATGTCCTCTTTGTAATCTGCATTTGGAAAAGATAACATTTCTGGAGATCTCAGCTGTTTGGGTGACTGTATATCTGGTGGTGATCCATCATGGTTTTCAACTGACCAAAGGACTTAGGCTAATCATCACGGTATTTCTGATGACTCCAATCATAAAGCTGGTTGCACACAATGGGCAACTATAGCGGCATGCATTTATACATGTTGCATTTTGATTAATTGCTTCATGAGTATGGTTTGTCCACTCGTAACTGTCATACCCATGAAACTGTCACTAGTGTGGGTATGTATGCTTGCAAAAATAAGCTGGTTATTATAGCCTATTGTATGGCATAAAGTATCCTACAAAGTGTTTTGTGTGTTTTTATGTCTTTTTTCAAAGAAACCCTTTATAAAAAATAAATACACATCTTTTACATAATTTAAAAATATTTTCCAGAATTATATTTTCAGGATTCTGACTTTTTATGATTTAAACATTTGGTATTATGGTGTTTGAGAGTCTATCTTTTGGGATTACAGTCTGTGGCCATTTTTATCAAGGCCTGGCTTAAATGTGTATTCATTTTCATCCACAAATAATGCCGAGGAGCTGCCATCATCTTTCTCTCTTGGCAACTTCCTGCCTCGATTCCTGTTCTCTCCCAGTTTGCAATCTCTGAGTAGCTGCAGGTCTGTCAACACAGCTGTACCTACTTTGCACAAGGAGCAGGTGGAGGAAGGGGAGGCAGCCAAAGCCCAGCAGCTTCCCTCTCTCTGGGACCAGCCAGTTACCTGCTTTGATGAGAAAAGCAGAGCCTCTCCAGGCAACCAGCACCCCCTGCCCCACTCAGACTATTCAGGATTCAAGCACATGTTTCTCAAGGAGAAAACACTTGTTTAATTCAAGTTGTAATATTTGTTTCTCAATTTTAAGTTAGGTTCTTTTAGAAATATTTATTTTTCTCTTGAGTTAGAAGAGAACGGACAGCATGTGACAAGGGCCGTGGCACAGACTCTGTAGCCAAAGTGTCCAGGGTCAAATTCTGCCTTCCCCACATACAGCGTGGGACCTTGGTGAAGTCACTGAATTCCTCTGTGATGGAGTCTCATCTAAACCAGAGGGATGATGATAATATATAACTTCTAGACTTGTCATGAAAGTTAATAACAAGAACATACGTAAGGCATGTAAACATTGTCTGACATTTTGTGATTGCTTTGTGTTTAACTCTGATTACCACACTTTCTTAAAATCTACAATTACAGTGACTAAGATGAAATCTTTATCGCTTTGAGACAGATGCTACTCCATTTGCTAGAAATTGTCTATATCTGGACTACTGCTAGATACATATTTTTGTACTAGGCCATGGTATCGTAAGACTTAAAGAAAAAGGAAAGAAACACAAAAAGCAGCTCAACAGTCCAAGACAGGTTTATTATGGACAATAAACCTGAGAGAGGCTCCTGGCTGAGTTAGGTCAGAGGCACTCTCTCTTACAGACTAAGAGTTTTTAAAGATTCAGGGCGAGAGAGCTTATCACAGGCTTGGAATGTTTCTGTGTCTCTCTCTTGCTTATCTGGGAGGGAGAGTTTTGTGTCTGTTCCCATACATCTCCGTGAAGCTGCAAGCATACTACCAAGTCTGCTTTTAGCTTCCCTATCTTCATGTACCTAAAAGGAAGGGAACATTCCCTTATTAGGGCCCTTATTAGGGCCCACTGTTTTACTGGGGCCCATTGCATGAATGTGAAGTTTGGTGGTTACCCAAGAGACATTCCCCATTCCCTCTGTGCCTGAGCTGTCGTATCTGTGTTTTACGGTCTGCTCTTGCTGGCTGCTTGTTGTCAGAAGACAAGTGATTTCCTTGAAATGCATGAGGTTAGAAAGGGAGCTGGAACTTAAAGTGGCAGTTGTCTGAGATAATGCTGCTCCTGCTTTGTCAGTTATTTACATGCACGTGGGTATGAATGTGCCTGTTGTAGAAGTAGTTTTCCCAATATTTCTGTCCAAGTGGTGGTGTGTAAAATAAAGTGACCCACTGCCACACAGGCCTTTCTTTCACTAGGCACTCTTGTCCTTTTTCCTGAGCCCCAAACCATTTCTCTCCTCAAGTCAGTCTGCTAGTTTCTTATTCTAAAGAATAGCAGTAATTCATTAAAAAAAAAAAAAAAAACCCTTTTTTTTAAGAGCTACCAATATTGAGATCCTGTAGCTTACATGAATTTCTTTTCAAACTGTTTGCCATTCCGCTCTGGGCACTTAGTTCTGAAATCTAAAATCGTGCTTAAGAGTGGAAGGGAGAGGAGATAGAGACAGTAATTATAGCAGCTGATATTTTTAGAGTTTCTCTATGTGTCAGGCTCTTTGCTAACCATTTTACCTGGGTTATGCCATTTAATCTTTACAACAGATTTCTCAAGTAGGCACTTTTATACACATAAAAATCTTGAGGCCAGACAGATTAAATAAATTGACCAAAGACACACAGTGTCCAATTGACAGCACTGGGATTTGCCCCAGGTGACCAGTGCAGAGCTGCTGAACAAGCTGTTTCACCACGACAAGCACTTTAATCCCCTTCTTTCTGTGCTCAAGACTGCAAGATGTTGTATTTCATTTAATCCTTAAACTGACACTGAGCATGACATCTGTTCAAAATATTTACTTTTTCTATGCTCTATTGATATTATAGGATAGGGCTTGGTTATGTGACCGCTAGGGTCAGGCTGCCTGGGTCCAGATCTCACCTCTACTGCTTTCTGGATGGGTGAACATCTCAGATAAGAAGAATACATAACCAAGATGGAGAAGTCTGAGAAAGGCCTCCAATTCTCTTATGGTAAGAGATCAAAACTGCTAGGTCCCTAGAATCACTCTTCTTTATTTTTTCTTACTTATTCCAGGACAGATAACAAAGCTGTTTTCATTTTACTCCCTCAGCGAATCCGCGTGTTCCTCAAAGTCTTCTGTAATCTTCATTCATTAGACCCAACGTCATTACTTCCAACCTTGAGATAAGGTCTGAAATGAGATTTCTTTTGAGAAAACTTTTTAGATTAATCAAGAGTTAGCTCACTCTTATCTTTTGCCTAAACTAATTTTAAAAGGGACCCTATTTTTGGTCCTACTCAGCTCAAATATGCTTCAGCAATTGCTGAAACTTAAAGGGAAGAATTTCCAACACATTGTGACGTGGACTTTGATATCTCAGACCCATTGCCTTATCAGTCTTTATGATTAAACTGCATCTATTTATTAAACCCTACAACGTAAGTGAGAATAAAACCCAGTGACAGCATCAGAGCTCTACAAGCATTAGCAATAATGAGGATAGAGGATACAACAAGTTTAAAGTTGAGGCTCAATACAGTAGCCTGAAGTGTATGCAGCTCATGAGCACGTGAAATGTGGCTAGTCAGCATTGCAAAATGGCATAACTGAAATACACATCAGATTTTGAAACTAGCATCTTTTGAAAATCAAAATACTTCACTTACAGTTTACATTAATTCTGCATTAAAATTATAATCCTTTGGAAGTATGAGGTTGACAAAATCCATTATTAAAGTTTATTTCACTTGTTTCATGTCACATTTTCCGTGTCGCATCTGGGGATTTTTAACTTCATCTGTGGCTCACATTATGGATTGTGTTATATGTTGAGTGGACAGCACTGCTCTAATTACTAAGGACCTGGCTTTTGTTGGTTAAGCGTGTGGCAGTTGAATCCGCTACATCCCCAGCATCGTCCTCAGTAGAGTGTGGATGCTCCAGCAAGGATCAGCTCCTTCTGAGCAGGTGCACCTGGGATCATCCTCATGCTAAGTCTTATCCTGATGCCCTCAAATGACTTATCACATGTAGCTGCTCTTTTTAAACTCTCTCTCCCCATCCCTTTTCTCTTTTGGCGCATACCTGCGAAACTTGTTCGGAGTGACTATTTTTTTCTCTATGTATTGTTGCAATATCCCTTTACCTATCCCCGTCCCCTCCCCAATAATCTTTATCTTGAGTGACAAATGAAGAAGCCATTTAGTGATAAAACTAAATTAAAGAAACTAAAGACCCGGGGCTCTAGTTGGCTCAGAGATAACAATGAAATAGTGCCATCCCCCTCTCTAGCTTGTAAGGAAAACAAACTACCCCAGATCATCAACAAAGCTGACTAGCTCTTTTGATCTTTATTTTTTTCAACTAGCTTCAGTCAAGTGCTGCCTAGGAAAGGATAGTTAGGTCTGTCTAATTCTGGAGTCCAACACTGGAAAGTCCAGGTGCCTATATTTTTCATTCTTTAATATACAGATGAATACATATGGGAGCATGTATCCACACACACACATATATATATGAATGGATATAGAATATATATATATACATAAATATGTATATATTTGTATATATATTAATATATATGTATATTTATGTGTATATATATATATATAACAATAGCATTGTTATTGGTAATAAAGGTGCTGACTATTTTGGTCTATGCCTCACTATTCATTTGCTTATCTCTTATGTATTTCAGATTTCAGACAAGGAAGAGAAGTATTATTTAGTGAACACCCCTCCAATTCAGCAGAAGTGAATAGCATACTTAAAATCATGAAGCAACACTGTAAAAATTATGGGAGGACATATTTTCTATGTACAGTTTGTACTTAGCCAATACATCCATGGGCGTGGATGCAGATAAGGACATTTGCAGCCTTGCTCAGGTTTAAAGACTTCCCTCCGAAGCAACATTTGGTAGAAAGCATTTGAGGTGAAACTGAGGCACAAGAAGGTGTCATGAAACAGGGTGTGCATTGAGGGCACGAGTAAAGAGAAGCCTCCAAGTTACTGCTTTGCGACAGTCCTAGAAACCATTCTGGAACCCTCTGGGTGAGCGCTCAGGGAGAGAAATGTGGTAGATTTGGGGGAAATGAAGGCAAGTGGGATATTGAAAAGCTGTGGTGAAGTGACAACTCACTGGATGAACAGACAACTAGAAACTTTGGGAATCAGAGAAAACAATTGTATTCCACATATTAAGCAATCGTGTAAGTTAGAGAAACAATTCAGTGGTCTTCAGAAAGAAGAAGAGAGTTCATTCGGAGCAAGAATTCACATAGTTAAGAAGCAGAAAATACATGGATTATTGTGATGAAAGCAAGTGTGCAACTAAGTAATGAGAGAAAAATAAGGATAATTCAAAATTTGAGGGCAAATAAATAGCAGTATGGCAAAGATGGGACAGTCTTTTACCAAATCCGTGTTTTTCTTCTTCCTGAGCTCACAGATGCTTCCATTTCCTGGCTCTCTTTGCAGTGAAATATGGCCTCATGGTTGAGCTTCAGCTAATGCAGTGGATGTACAGGAGATGCACTCTAATGTGTGGAGGAACTGCCCATCACAACTCAAGTTCTTCCTTTTCACCCAGTGCAATGTTGCAGGCTACAGACCTTCAGGGAAGCCAGATGTGAAAGGTGGCCATCTCCAAATCACCGCTGCGCATAAAAACATCTGAACCAACTACCCATCATTGAGACTCATTTTGAATTTAACTTGAGCAAAGAGTATTTCTGTTTGAGCCCATTAATACTGTATTAATGAAACAAGCAGAACAACAATGCCCTGGTCCAAATGTGAAACAAAAGTAATTCCAATTTCATTATGAATAATTGAGGCAAAGCCAGCACTCATCTAGACTCTGGGTTGAGTAGCATTAGGGATTGCAATGTTGGAATCACAGAAGAGGAAGTCTAATTACAGGCATACGCTTGGCTCTGTGCTGAGCAATATTCACGCACTTACCAAAATATGAATGCTTACTGCTTTTCAACTTTTTTTTTTTTTTTTTTCCTGACACGGAGTCTCGCTCTGTCGCCCAGGCTAGAGTGCAGTGGCGCGATCTCGGCTCACTGCAAGCTCCGCCTCCAGGGTTCACGCCATTCTCCTGCCTCAGCCTCCCGAGTAGCTGGGACTACAAGCGCCCACCGCTACGCTCGGCTAATTTTTTTTTTTTTTTTTTTTTTTTTTTTTTTGTGTGTGTATTTTTAGTAGAGACGGGGTTTCAGCATGTTAGCCAGGATGGCCTCGATCTCCTGACCTCGGGATCTGCCCGCCTTGGCCTCCCAAAGTGCTGGGATTACAGGCGTGAGCCACAGCACCCGACCACTGCTTTTCAACTTTTACAAGCAGACTTTAGATACATTAAGAGCGACTTCATTATTATTATTTAATTAAATATAAAGGCTGACATATTTGACACTGCAAAGGTTCTATTGCAATTGAGAGAACATAGAGGCCAAAACAGGAGAGAAAATATACTAGAAAGAGTAGAAGCAAGAATATTCACATCTTACTAAATGGAAAGACAAGAGATGTTACCAAAAATTAAAGAAATACAGCATAAAGAATCAGTTGTATTATTCCAGTTCATAAATATAACAGATAGTAAGAAGACATGGGAAACAGAAGTGATGTAACATATTAATACTCATATCAAGGTGTCAATTGAGAAAGTTCACAACGGATAAAGCATGAAGAATAATGTAAACAAATTACATAAAAGACAATAATGACAGAAAACCAGAAATGGTTAAATCTTATGGATTCTGTGGCATAAGAGTATGGATACGCTGATGGAAGTTTTACTTTCATGGGAAAACTTTATTATTAAACTCTTCAACCATGTTCATATGTTACTGATCTTCAATGTTAGTAAAGTTGGGATGAGACCACCCAAACTATAGCTGACTTGTTACAATGTCCAAGTCAGAAATTTAAATCAGAGGTCAAGTCAATTTGAGACTTTAGTTTTTCACCCTTATTACAGAAATAATCATATTTTCCCTGCCCATTTCTTAAGGTTCTTTGAGGTACAAGCAGGATCTTGCATTTATGGGCCTCAGCATATTGCCAAGGAGACACTGCATAAATGTGACTTGTGGATACCTTCCTATGGTGGTTCATTGGAGTTGCACATAGGAGCTACTGCAGGCCGCTCTGTGAAGTACGGCATACATAAACATACGTAGTTTATGACAGCTTGTGACTGGGAACTTCCTGAGTATGACTTCAGGGATCTAAGCTCTGCAATGCTGCTGAGAATTGTTTTCTTAAGTAAGGTTTGCTAAAACAAAGTGTTCCATCATAGAATAAATGAAAGCATGTAAAAAGGTGGTGTTCAGGTGAGGGAGCATGAATCTTTGTCTGAAGTACGATTGGCCTGGGCTAGGCCTGGGTGGGTTTAAACGGCCTGATGCCTTGGTGATTACATAGGTAGAATTAGGCAGCCGGGACAACATCAGACTAATACTCACAAAAATAAGATTCAGAATTGGAGCAATGGAATAAAAGGGGACACCGAAGGGGCTGCAAGAGATGTTGAGACTGTAATTTTCCATGGATGTGAGCTCCTGTGAAGAAATGCACCCCCTCCTGGGGGAGTGTTCTGGATCAGATGTTAGCTTTCTCATGGAGGAGGATTTTCTAAATACAAATATTTACCTGCTTCCTTTCTACCTTCTTGTATGCCCCTATCCAAAATCCACACAGTGGACCATCTTTCATGTTTTCCAGTCAGGAAGAATACCTTGTTTTGCATTTGATCCTCTATTTCCCTGTAGGACCCTAGATCTCAAAGTAATTTATAATCTATCCTAGGCTGTACCATTATTATTTAATAATTTATGAATCAATAATAAAGTATGGGAAACATAAAGCAAATTAAGAAGGCATTTAAATCAAGAGGCAAAAGCATTTTTCATTGAAACTATCTAGCTGCTTCTTCTCTTTTTTCATATTTCTCCCCTAGACAGACATCATGCCTGTAAGAAGTGAAACAGTAAATCCTTTTTAAGACTGGCAGAACATGCCAATAATATACAATGAATAAGGTGAATTAAGAAAGACACAGATCTTAAGTTGAAAGACTCAAGAATAACGAATAGTTGAAAGATTACCTCTCAAGAAAAATGAATTTTGAGGTCTCATTTTTAATGTCAATGTGATGTTTGTTCCCTGTTTAAGGGACACAGTTTTAAGCAAAGGTGACTGGCCTCTGATTTAGTTCTGTTAATTATTTTCTATTAATTAAATATACAGTTATACCTTTTTCTTTAAAGAACATCACGGCTACATATATAATACATTTAGGTGTCATTATTCAGGGAAAATATTGCTAGTTTGAATAAATTATAAACTTTTATAACCCTGGCAAAAGATCATTGTAGAAGGAGACAGTCATGCTACTGTTAGGAACTCTATAAAAAAAAAAAAAACTCTTCAACCAGTTCCTGCAAATAAATAAGTATTAATAGAACTTTGGGGAAGCAGAATATATACTCATTTCATTCGTGTGAATTATCTCAGTCCATATGGTTGAAATTTACATCTCTCATAAATATGTCACATTTACACATTTACAAGAATTAGATCATTTTTTCTTTATAATCTAGTTATCCAAATCCATGAGAAACTGTGCTGCATCATTCAAATATGTTTTATAAAATAACATGTAATGGAACGCAATTTGAAGTCATACTACACCAGACACTGAGAAAAGCAAAATTTAAATGTAAATGTAATAATCTATAATACAGAAGAACAAAGTTTCCTGTGATAAAAGCACACTGATCTCATTGGGATTTACCACATGGGTGGCAGCATAGGAAAGACACTTAGCTGACTGTTATGTCAACTTTGACTACAGATACGATTATGGAAATTTTAAAGATCCTCCAATTAAGAAGAAAACCACTGGAGGATATGTAAGCAAAAAAGCAATAAACAATGAAGGAAAATACTCTTGGCTTAGGCCAAGTTTTAATGTCACAAGGAACTAAGGACACTGCCACTCACAGTTTTAATGGTGGTATCTTATCTCCTGGGAAGCTACAAGCTAACACCATTAAGATATTATGTCAAAATATAAAATAGCAATCAGACAAATGCTATCTGAGAGATCAAGGGACTTCTTTTTTCCTTAAAGAAACTGTAATAAGGGGTTGTAATGATAACTAAAATTTAGATTTAAGTTTGAAGTTGACAAATGATTAAGATTTATGGCTGTAGGGAGATGACAGGGAGACTCTGTGGCAGTGTAAAAACCTGAGCAAAAGTTTGGAATTTGGCAAGGTGTAGTATGCTGCTGAGCGAATTCTTTAAAAACCAACCAAACAACAAACAAACAAACAAACAAACTGAAAACCTACTTTGCAGTGTTTGCCAATTCTTATGCTGTAGTCCCACTATGACAGATAATAAGCTAACCACATGATGTCAAGGAACACAGAACTTGGAAAAGAAGCAGATAGTTCTCAGGCCAGCCAGGATAGGTCGGCCACAGAAAAACACAGCTTTGTGGAGCAAAAAGCTTTACACTCATGTTGGGTACACTACCAGGTGGAATTGCACCATTTAGTTACGACGAGGTAAGAAGCATATAGGAAGCCCTGTTGAAGGTTTGTACTTTATTCTCATTGAGTCACCAAAGTAGTTTGGCTGATAAAAGAAATGTTAGGATGAAGATGGATGTTAGGAGAGAGTGAGTCAGGAGTAGAAAGTAGGATGATGGTATGCTTTGGCTGTGTCCTCACCGAAAATTTCACCTTGAATTGTAACCTAAATTCTAATCCCCTAATCCCCATGAGTTGGGGAGGCACATTGTGGGAGGTGATTAGATCATGGGGGTGGGTCCTCCATGCTGTTCTTGTGACAGTGGGTGAGTTCTCATGAGATATGATGGCTTTATAAGGGTCTTTCACCCTTCACTCTGTACTTCTCGCTCCTGCTGTCCTGTGAAAACGTGCCTTCCATCATAACTGCATGGTTCCTGAGGCCTCCGCAGCCATGCAGAACTGTGAGTGAATTAACCTCTTTTCTTTATAAATTACCCAGTCTCAGGTATTTCTTCATAGTAGCATGATAACGGACTAATACAGATGACAACTGACATTTTAGACATGGGGGCCCATTGAACAAACTTGAAGCCAGTCTGTTTGAGAAGGGAAATAAATAACTAAAATAACATAGTAAAGGCAGAAATGGAAGTAAGGCCAAGACACTTGAAATGAAGAGTATGACTTGAGATCTACATGATCTATTAAAAATTAAATAAATAAAGAGAACAAAGACACAGTAACTTTGATTTTTTTTCTGAGAGTGAGAATGTAATGGAAATAATGGTAGAAATAAGGAAGAAGAAAGAATATATTTAGGATGCCCAATGGCACTCTCTTAAGTGAGATCAATTAATTGAGAACAGTCTGTGGAAAGCAGATGGGATACAGGTTTAGGTTTTGAGGCCACCACTGTTTTGACAACATAAAGATGAAAAGTAATTAATAAGAAAAAAATGAAAATGGACATAATAAACTTCAGGAACATGAAGAGAAAATGAGCATTTTAGAAAAAATAATGGGCATCTAGAGTAGGAACTAGTCATCATATGAATTTCTCTAGGACAGAGGAATAATTCAAATACGATTAATCCCAAATCTAACATCTATTAGCACAAATACCTTGAGCAAGTCACTTTTCCTACCTGAAGTCCAGATTCCCCACCTATAATATGAATCTTTAATAAAATGCCTACTTATGAAGATTAAATTTGCTAAAGTAGTGCCTGGCTTACAGTAAGTGGACAATACATACTAGCTTGTGGGGTGGTGGTAGTAGTAGCAGTCATCGCCGTCATATGCCATTATGAATACAATAAACACCAAGCAGATCTCATAAGACTCTAACATTTTACAAAAAAAGGAAAAAAAAATAGGCAAATATGCAATAACTAGCGAAGGATAAAATAAAAGCATACTGAAGGAAATAATATAATGTTACATGATGACTTGCAGTGGAGCCTGTAAATTGGCATGCTTACAATCCTAGATTAAAAGCCAGACTTGTGTTTGGGTCATAACATTTACTATCTCTGGAACCTTTTGCAAATTAAAACTCTATTTCTTTACCTTTTAAATGAGTGTTAATAATTATTACATTAGTGCTTGTTGTGAGAGTTAAATGGTATAATCCAAGTGAAGTTTTTAGCAAATTTTCTGGCATCTCATTAAGACCTCAATAAATGTTAGGTATGCTTTTAATTTTGTACTCAAAAGATAAATTTTTCTTAGGAAAGTCAAAACCTAAGAGTTGAAGTATGCTCTTTTCTAAAGTCATTGGAACAGTAAAATAGTATTTTTGGAAAATGTAAAAATAGCAGTGTTGCAGGTAAAGGAATTCTCATCTTGCTCTGAAATATGACAACGGCACTTGGGAGAGGGCACTAACTTACAATCACCTTATCTGAGAAGACTGACAGTGTTGAAAGAGTTCTTAAAATATACACATTAAATGGTCAAGGAGTGTTTGTAATTTTTAATAAAAAAGATAAAAAGGAGGCAACAGGGCTAGAAGGACATAAACATTGGCATCAAATCTTTGAATCCTACAACGAGAGGTGATGAAAATAGGCAGAAATCCATGAAGACTGAAAAACAGGATGAAAACAATTTTGGATATTTGGGGGATATAATAACAAGTTGCATTAGTCTGTTTTCACGCTGGTGATAATGCATACCCAAGAATGGGCAATTTACAAAAGAGAGGTTTGATGGACATACAGTTCTATATGGCTGGGGAAGCCTCACAATCATGGTGGAAGGCAAGGAGGACCTAGCCACGTCTTATATGGATAGCAGCAGGCAAAGTCAGCCTGTGCAGAGAAACACCCATTTTTAAAACCATCAGATCTTGAGAGACTTATTCACTATCACAAGAACAGCGCAGGAAAGAACTGCCTCCATGGTTCAATTACCTCCCACTGGCTTCCTCCCACATGTGAGAATTGTGGGAGCTGCAATTCAAGATGAGGTTTTGGTAGGGACACAGCCAAACCATATCATTTCGCTCCTGGACCCACCCAAATCTCATGTCCTCACATTTCAAAACCAACCATGCCTTCCCAACAGTCCCCCAAAGTCTTAACTTATTTCAGCATTAACTCGAAATTCCACCTTCCGAACTCTTATCTGAGACAAAACAAGTATCTTCCTCTTATGAACCTGTATAATAAAATACAAGCTAGTTACTTCCTAGACAAATGCAGGCACAAGAATTGGGTAAATACAGCCATTCAAAAATGGGAGAAATTGGTCAAAACAAAGGGTCTACTGGCCCTATGTAAGTATAGAATCCAGTGGGGCAGTCAAATCTTAAAGCTCCAAAATCATTTCCTTTGACTTTGTGTCTCACATCCAGGTCATGCTGATGCAAGAGGTGAGCTCCAACAGTCTTGGGCAGGTGTACCCCTGTGACTTTGAAGAATACAGCTTCCCTCCTGGATGCTTTCATGGGCTGCTGTTAACTGTCTGCAGCTTTTCCAGGTGCATGATGCAAGGTGTCAGTGGATCTACCATTCTGGAGTCTGAAGGATGGTAGCCTTCTTCTCACAGCTCAACTAGGGCGGTGCCCCAGTAGGGACTCTGTGGGGGAGCTCTGACCCCACATTTCCCTCCTGCACTGCCCTAGCAAAGGTTCTCCATGAGGACCGCCACCCATAGCAAACTTCTATCTGGACATCTAGGAATTTCTATACTTCCTCTGAAATCTAGGCAAAGGTTCCCAAACCCAAATTATTGACTTCTACACATTCGCAGGCTCAACACCACATGGAAGCTGCCAAGGCTTGAGGCTTACATCCTCTGATGACACAGCCTGAGCTTTATGTTGCCCCTTTCAGCCACAGTTGGAGCAGCTGGGATGCAGGGCACCAAGTCTCTAGGCTGTACACAGCATGGGGACCCTTGGCCCGGCCCTCAAAACTACTTTTATTCTCCTAGACCTCCAGGCCTGTGATGGGAGGGGTTGCTGTGAAGACCTCTGACATGCCCTGGAGGCATTTTCCCCATGGTCTTGGGGATTAACTTTTGGCTTCTTGTTACTTATACAAATTTCTGCAGTTGGCTTGATTTTCTCCTTGGAAAATGGGATTTTCTTTTCTATCACATTGTCAGACTGCAAAGTTCATGAACTTTTATGCTTTGCTTGCCTTATAAAACTGAAAGCTTTACAGCACCCAAGACACCTCTTGAATGCTTTGCTGCTTAGAAATTTATTCCTCCAGATACCCCAAATCATCTCTCTCAAGTTCAAAGTTCCACAACTCTCTAGGGCAGGGGCAAAATGCCATCAGTCTTTTTGCTAAAACGTAACAAGAATCACCTTTGGTCCAGTTATGAACAAGTTTCTCATCTCCATCCGAGACCACCTCAGCCAGGATTTCATTGTCCATATCATCAGCACTTTGGTCAAAGCTATTCAACAAGTCTCTAGAGAATTCCAAAACTTCCCACATTTTCCTGTCTCCTTCTGAGTCCTCCAAACTGTTCTAAACTCTGCCTGTTATCCAGTTCCAAAGTCGCTTCCACATCTTTTGGTATCTTTTCAGGAGTACCCCACTCCTGGTACCAATCTATTGTATTAGTTCATTTTCACACTGCTGATAAAGACATACCTGAGCCTGGGCAATTTACAAAAGAAAGAAGTTTAATAGACTTACCGTCCCAAGTGGCTGGGGAAGCCTCACAATCATAGCAGAAGGCAAGGAGGAGCACATCACGTCTTACATGCATGGCAGCAGGCAAAGAGAGAGCTTGTGCAGGGGAACTCCTCTTTTTAAAACCATCAGATCTCATAAGACTTATGTGCTATGATGAGAACGGCACAGGAAACACTTACCCCCATGATTCAATTACCTTCTACCAGGTTCCTCCCACAACATGTGGGAATTGTGGGAACTACCGTTCAACATGAGGTTTGGGTGAGGACAGAGCTAAATCATATCAGAAGTCATAAACTTGCTATTGACTTTATGTGGTCCAAGCATGACTTTTCTCGTATAACATGTAATATTATATATTATTACTTATCACATGTTATTACTTACATACTAACATGCAATATTAAATGTTATTACACATTACATGTTATTTCTTACATAGTAATAACATGTAATATTGCTTTCAGGAGCAGAATGAGCTGACATTGTAAGAGTCAGCTCAACATGTATTATTTTCATTTAAGTGGAAACTTTCATAAAAGCATCTCCAAAACCATTGCCCTGCCCTGGAGTCTGCTCACCAGCCCCCTTGTAGCACTGTACCTCTGCAAAAGGGAGCTGGGAAGTCCCACGATGCACCATTTCCTGGGCTGACGATGCAGGTCAGGATGGCGTGGCCTTCCAAGATGTAGCCAGGGAGGCAGCTGTACCGGATTTTGTCTCCTATGTTGAATCTCGTTCCATGCAGAACTCCTTTCAGGATTTCTCCAGGATTTCCACAAGTGTGGCTAGGTAAAACTATTGGAAAAAGAAAAGAAAGGAGAAAAAACAAGTTAAATTTTCCATGGAGAGCCACTTATAAGATAAAACAGACACCATTTTTGAATTATTAAAATGAGAAAACCTCTAGCATCAGAAAAATATTAATTGTTGCTAAAAAATAAACTGAGAAAATGTCTTCAGGTTTTAGAATATCTGCAGTATAACACTTTTATAAACATCATAAAGTGTAAATAAATGCATTTTGTTAAGAGAGAAAAATATAGTCCTGCTTTTATTCAGTGTTCCAGATAATGTCTGGATTATATTTTTCTAGTCACAAAATTCTACTTACTCCTATAGTGAGCAACCAGATGTCAGTGTCAGCAACCAGACACAGTAGACTATAGAAATCTAAAACAGTGGCATAAGAAATACTGCAAGAGTGAATACTCATACCCTATTTATTTTTATGCTTCCACGACTGGTACAGTGTCTGTTACACATCATTACCCAACGCTCAATCAACATTTGATGGATAAGCAATTGAATTAAATAATAAATTAGAAATCTCATGCATTGATCCATCAATGTATAAAAAAATGTTCCACTACTGTATTCCAGGCCAGCAGCCAGGCTCTGTCCATTTATAGTGTCTGATTCAAAAGCAAGTTTCAGTGCTAAGTTTTGACAACAGAAATACTGAATTCACTTTCATTTTGTAAAAAAATAATAAAATTCAAAGGCCGTCAACCATCTGAATGGACACATCCTCTCAGCCAGGGTGATTCCAAAGTTAATCTGAAAAACTAGGTCAGGCCGTGGTGGGATGGGGCAGTCAGACATGCCTCATTATACTCTCTTCCCTGTTGGAATTACTGATAGAACAGGCTCCTCAATTCCGATACGAAACACTGACAATCTGTTTGCGGAAGCCTGCTACCTGGAGGCTTTGTATGCATGATAAAAACATTGGTCTCTTCAATACTTTCTTCTAACCCAGACATTCCTCTCTATTGATTCCATGTCTTTAGACAATAACTTAACTCTTGCAATTAATTTCCAATATGAAAAAAAAAAAAAAAAAAAAAAAAACCTGGCCAGGCACGGTAGCTCACGCCTGTAGTCCCAGCACTTTGGGAGGCCGAGGCAGGAGGATCGTGAGGTCAAGAGATCGAGACCATCCTGGCTAACACGGTGAAACCCTGTCTCTACTAAAAATACAAAAAAAATTAGCCGGGCGTGGTGGCGGGCACCTGTAGTCCCAGCTACTTGGGAGGCTGAGGCAGGAGAATGGCGTGAACCCGGGAGGCGGAGCTTGCGGTGAGCCGAGATCGCACCACTGCACTCCAGCGTGGGTGACAGAGCGAGACTCCGCCTCAAAAAAACAAAACAACAACAATAAAAAAACCTTTGATTCTACCTATGACCTGGAAGCTCCCACTTCCAGTTGTCCCGCCTTTCCAGACCAAACCAATGTATATCTGAAGTGTATTGATTGATGTCTTATGTCTCCCTACAATGTGTAAAACTAAGTTGTGGCTCAATCCTCTTGGGCACTTGTTCTCAGGACCTCCTGAGGGCTGCGTCATGGGCCACTGATGACTCGTATTTGGCTCAGAATAAATCTCTTCAAATATTTTACACAGTTTGACTCTTTTCATTGACAATTTCAATAATGGGGTATTGATTCTGTTCTTTTTGGTCCTCTCACTTTTTCCTTGATATGATTCTCTATCTAAATCAATTGACTTGAAACTCCATTCCACACTTATAGAACATGATTTTGAACTGAAACGGTACATCATTCAGTTGAATGGATGAAATTCATCATTGTTGGCTATTGTATCCATATCTAAGGTTTAAATTTAGTATGTCATCAGTAAATTAGCTGCTATTTAGTATTCAAGTAAGCTATGAAACTTACTAGTAGAGAAATACAAACACTTCCAAATAAAAATGTATTTCCAATTGAACAGAAACTATTTCATGTCTGTATCCATTGTCTTTGCATCGGCATGGGGGTGTATTTTAATGTATTGATATAATGTAGAATAATATTTTCTGTTTTATTAGTTTTTAAACTGAGTAACATAGAGAACATTTTTAGAATACGGAATAGGAATCATCTATTTCTAAAAGTATTTTTATTTATCATGATATTACTTAAGTACAAACAGAACTATATAGAAATATTTAGGAAATAAATACTAGTGTTTAGATATTGAATATTATTGACATGTTTATGAGATCTCTATTTACATAGTCAAAGTGTATTCAGTTCTAGTTTTTAAGAAGTAATTTCTGAGAGCAGTCTACAGAAATCTGTTTGAAAACACAACAGAAAATAGTTCACTATTGTCTGCAATCATTTTTGTCTTTTTTAATAAGAAAATTCTGTATTTAATTCCACATTCACTATCCTTAAAGCAAACATGTGTGCTGTTTATAGTACATTAAAAGTGACATTTATAAGGAAGAAAAACTTTCCATTTTATCAGGGCAGCCCTTCAACTTTTGACTCAGAATGCCTTGTCCATCAGCTGAGCCGAGAGCTCTTACAGTCAAAGACACACGTTGTATAGCCACCGTAAATGTGAAGAGTGAGAAAGGGAGTGATTAAAAAAAGTAAACATGTGGACAAAAGCTTTTTGATGTTTTTCTTTAATGTCCAGGAATATTTAAAATAAATCAACATGTCTTCTTAGGGTCATTATTATTAACTGCTACTGCTAATTCTTCTTAGAAGGCACACATTTTCCAACAGAAGGTGTCCAGATAATTGTTCCCCAAAGACACGGTTATCAATGGAAATCTATCAAATAAATCTGCTAAAGATAACCACAATGACCAGTCATTGTCACACACGGAAAATGCAAATGAAACACTCTGGAAATGGAACTTAGTCTGCGCGACTCTTCTATACGTTTTTTCTGTTAAAAGGGCCTGAAATTATTTTTTTCAATTAACTTTGGTATGAATAATGCAAATGATTATCGTGCAGAAAGATCAACGAAACATTCTACAGTAATATATAGTTGTGAGCTGCCTAACAACAGCTCAATGATACGACTCATATACAACATCGGTCCCAGGAGATGATGGCGTACTGATGTTGTAGCCGTCATGAGGTCGTAGTGCCAGCTATGATGCACGTGTCTGTGGTGACGCCGGTGTGAACAAACCACCTGTGCAGCCAGTCATACAAATCTTCAGCACATACAATTAGGTTCACTGCATATGCTTGATGATAATAGTGAACAACTGTCACTGGTTTTTCTACTTACTATACTATACTTTTTATCATTATTTCAGAGTGTGCTTCTTCTACTAAAAAAAAATTACGATTTTACTGTAAAACAACCTTAGTCAGGTCCTTCAGGAAGGATTCCAAAAGGAGGCATTATTATCCTAGGAGATGAAAGCTCCATACCTGTCCTTGCCCCGAAGACCTTCTGGTGGGACAAGACGTCAAGGTGGAAGAGATGACCCCGTGCAGGCCTAGGCTAGGGTGTGTGTTTGAGTCTTAATTTTTAATGAATACAGTTTAAAAAGTAAGAACATATAAAGAAATTTTAAATAGACAAACTCTTATGAATAACAATATAAATGTTTTGCACAACTGTGCAAGGTTTATGTTTTCAGTTAAATATTATTACGGAAGAGTCAAATGCTTAAAAATGAAAAAGAAGTTTATGAAGTAACGTTATACTAAGCTTAATTTATGATTAAAAAAGAAAAATGTGTTTTTATACATTTAGTGTACTCTAAGTGTACAGTGTTTATGAAGTCTACAGTCGTACATAGTCCCGTCCGAAGCCTTCACAGTCACCCCTCACTCACACACAGACTCACCCAGAGCAACTTCCAGCCCCACAAACTCTATTCACGGTAAGTGTCCTATGAGAGTGTAACACTTTTTTTTATTTTTAATGCTGTTTTATTACTGTACCTTTTCTATGTTTAGAGACACATATACTGACCATTATGTTATAGTTGCCTACAGTATTCAGTTCAGCCACATGCTGTACAGGTTTGCACTCTAGGAGTACTAGGCTACACCACACATCCTAGGTGCGTAGTAGGCCGCAAAACTTGGGTTTGTGTAAGTGTGCTCTGTGATGTTTGCACAGGGACAAAATCACCTAAGGATGCATTTCTCAGAATGCATCCCAGTTGTTAAGTCATGCATGACTGCATGTAACATATCTCAAGATGCTGTTGTTATGGTCAAGCCTCCCACTTTATCATCTACAGTATATTTAGTAAATTTAAAGAGGGACCCCTCCAAAATTGTTACCATGGTACTGCGCAATGGTATTTTCCAGCAGTGTAGAAATGTATTGACTTACATATTTCTGAAGGAAAAATATCATTAATGAATATGAGTCTCCCCAAGAAGGTGTCTGAAAAGAAATATTTGTAAACACCCATCTCTTCAAACTTCCAAGAGACAGCTACTACCATAAAATTGAATATGAAAAATATTTATTCTGTTCAATTTCATCAATTTAGGAAAGGTATTTTTAATAGGGAAAAATTAAGGCAGATGTTAGAAGCAGCGGATGTCAAAGAAAAAACTAGACATCAATGGAGAGCATGCCTGTTCTTTTCATGAAATTGCATTTCTCATTGTATCTGACGTAAAGGATCCTTTTGCAGATGCAGTTGCAGGCTTTTATTTTACACCAGGTCCTCAAATAGCACTGTTGGCAGCACCACTATTTCATTATAACATGGATGAGAAAAATAAATAGATTCCTGACCAGGGCCACCACCTGTTCTTACCATCTCTGCATGAGGTATGTCCAGTTTCCTCCATATCCCAAAGATGACCATGTTTGCATGTTAGGCTCATTGGCATGTGCCCTGGATCCTAGTATGGGTGAGTGTGGGGTGTGTGTGTGTGTGTGTGTGTGTGTGTGTGTGTGTGTGTGATCCTGCCATGGTAGTGTGTCCTGTCCAGGGCTGGTGACCACCTGGCACCCGGAGCTGCTGAGACAGCTCTGGCCACCCACAACCCAAAACTGGAATAATTGGATAAATTATTTTACTTGTTTTTATTAATCTTTCTTAAGTGAATGTAGAGCTCACATGTGTGTCAGTGTTCAATATTAGAAGTGTTTTGATCTTTAATATTTAGAATTTTGTAGATGTTTTCTATGACAAGTAATATGACATAGGAACTTTACTTTTGTTTATATCAATTAACCTGTGGGAAAATTGGTCTTGTCTTACATTGTTTTGCTTAGAGCCACATTTTCCCAGAACCTACCAAGCACTTGAAGTGAGCACTTGCTGTAACAGCAATGGCCATCAGCTCCACGCAACAGCCCAGTGGCATTATAGAGAATAAAGAGGATGTCTATTTCTGGGGCATCTTAGACCATTTCAATGGTTTGCTTTTTTGTCTTCTCTACAGATTTTTTTCTTTACCTTAACATCTTGACACTTAATTTTAGAAGAATTTGAAAAACACAAATCAGACATAGCCTTTGCAAGGTGCCGTTTTTCAACTGACAGGGATTGCAATGGAAAGGAGAATGGACTTTAGGTCTCTTATATTTATCAGGTGTGCTTATCTACTGAAAATGTTTTCCCATCAGTATTGATTTTAAAGGGGAAGGTGTGAAGATTGAATGAGATAACAGGTCTCCAAATATCTGTTCTTTATGACTCTATCAGATTTTACTGCAAACAGCCGTTAATAGTTCTGAGGGCCTTGAACCATTCCAGGTTGGAATTGAATCTTTTTATGTTTGTATATAAATATTAATATATTATAAAGTAGATCATATATTCTCGTATACATACGTACAATAACTGAAATTCACGTAGCTCATAAGCTTAGTGGGAATAGGAAAAAAAGTTTTTCAAAATTCAGTTGGACAAAATGTTATTTTAGAAACAATGAATCAAAAAATAATGTATAATTTTAGTCACTTTATTCCCACACTTGGTAAAAAGTGTAAATAAGTATCAGAGGCTTAAAATTAATTCAAAAAGTTTGGAAGTAAAATAACTCAGCAAATGGGAAAAAATGATTAGATCTACCATTTAAGGTTTAAAGTCACTGATTGGTGACACAAAGTTATAAATTTATGATTTAGGGATTGGGGATTTTTATCTTCAACAAATTTTCTTTTTAAAAAGTTTTTGTAAAAATTTTAATGGGAACAATGTGAATAAATAGAAATAATTAAGAATAAATTAGAATATTTTCTTCTAGTTTCAAACACCAAAAAACGCAAAACAGACATAGTATTATAAATCCATTAGCAATTTTACTAAAAAATCAAAAAAACTTGTAAATTGTAAAATATTGATGGAATTGTTGCTAGGTCTATGCAAAGATTCAAGACACACACAGACACAAATATTACCAAAATATGGTAATTTAGTGTTCGAGAAAAACTAATTTGAAAGCAAATTATTTCAACCCAATGTCATTTCTGCCAATTTCATTTTAACTGAATTTTAACCAGTTTGCCTGAAGATTATGCATGTCTCTTTGTGACTCCCAGAAGTAATGAATACACATGAAGAATTTAGTAAATACCTACTGAGTTGACATAAACTCTACTTTTAATTCTCTTTATTTATTTCCTGAGCCATTTACACTCCTTCCCATAGATGCTTCAAGAAAGCAATACTTATTTAGGTGATGGGAATTCTGCGCCCAATGCAGACATTTGGTAACGTGAAAGGATTTCTTGAAAGAGCTCTGGGCACAGTTGTTTTCTCTCATGGCAGGTTTCCACTGGACCCCATGAAGCCAAATTTGTACATCAGGGCTTGAAACTTGAAACATAGGCTGCCATTCTAAATATGCACACGAAAATTCCCTCCGTAACACTTAATTTGGCAAGTACATATGGTCACAATTCAGTGACTTAATTGGGCTATCACATCAAACCTTTAACCCAGCTGTTTCAATGGTTAAGTGGATGTCATATTAAGTATCTTTCCAAAAGAAAAGTGAAAGCATGATACTACAATACAATATTAATATTCATTACTACATGGGACAAGGCTATCGAAAGGAAGTTTAAAATTCATCAAAGCAACGGCAGCATTTTCAACAGCATGTGTACAATCAGTGGAATTTCATGAGGTGGATTCATCTGGAATCTAGGTCCCTTAGGGTTTCTCTCCATTTCTCTACACTTTGCCTCTGTAGTAGTCTCCTGGTAGCTTAAGAAAATATAACTCCAAATTCCTTCATGATGTGTACTTTCTATGTAAACCAACGATATCAAATGTGTTTGTTTTGGACTATTTGCTGCTGAAAGCTCTTCACCCCACTCTCTCTCCTGGCTTTGGGAAGGATTAGAAAAATCTGGTTATATAATTTTCAGGATCACATTAAAAAATCGGATTTCCTAGTCTTGAAACCTTACATTTCTTCTCTTTACTGGCTCTCTGAATGCGAGCCAATCTGTAAAAGGAGAAGGTGCTGACAAAGCATTTATGACAAAAGCAATGAGGACCTCCCAGGAGGTGGCAGTCATTGAATGCCTTCTACTTTCAAAAAGTCTCATTCTCCAGGATGAGGAATGACAGTGAAAGAGAAGGACCTCATGGGACGTAATCAGAACTGGCTGAGAATAACTCAATGAGGAAGTGAGCTGTAAATATACTTGAAGGTGGAAAAGGGCAAGATTTGGCCAAATAAGAAAGATAAATTGATGTGGGGGAAGTCGTTGTGGCAAGCATTTATAGAAAAGTATATGGCACAGGGAGTTACAGTCATCAGATCTGGCATCAAATAGATTTGGGTTTCTGCTCCAGAAAGTGATTTTGTAATGTTGGACAAATTACTTAGATCTTAGTTTCTACATCTTAGAAAGGGGAATGAAAAGTAAAGCTTACTCTTGGGTTTATTATAGAGAATTGTAAAAAGATATCACAAATCAGGGCACTCGGTACAGGTTAAGTGCCCCATACATGTCAGGACTGTTAAAATTATTTTCCCAATTCTAAAGCACCATGCAAATGTTAGGGAAATAATACAATTTTCAAAGTATACAGAGATTTTAACATATCGCAATTTCAGAAACAATATTTTTAAAGGGTATGAGAGTCAAGGCTATTAATGAAATGCTAGCATAGTTGTAATGGAAGTGAAGGAGAAGGACATCGTAGTTTTTCATTTAGCAATAGTAATTCCACTTCATTATTTCTGCCTTATCATAATAACCGGAAATACTTGCACAACACACACTATGTGCTAGACACTGTTCCAAGTCGTTTATATATATTGAGTATGTATCAGTAAGTACTATTATTATGCCCATTTTAAACAAACAAACACACAAACAAAAACATGCTGCAGGGAGATCAAGTAATTTCCAGGACAGGTAACTGTTAAGAACTGGTAGTAGAGCTTGCATATGATGATGGATTCAGAATCTCTACTTGCAAGCATGACAAAAACTCTTTCATATGAAAATGTGGCTAACATCAGAAGAGGTGATGATAAAGTGTGATTAGATCTACGGTGTTCACAATGGAGGTTAGTTATAATAACATGCATATATGGATTGGGGAGACTTACGATGTTTTCTTAGGTAGAATGGAGGGCACAACCATAACATAGTTTTAAAAAACATGTTTCAAGCTCTCGAGGCAAATTCATATAATAGCAAAAACACTGCAGGAGAGACTGCAGCAAAGTCAAAAACAAGGTAAGCGACCAGTTGGCAAATGGATTTGAAACCTAGAGACTAGATTTTCAAAAGATTTTTAATAGCACGTGAAAGACTTTAGCAGCTCCGGACAATCGAAAAAATAAAAATGCTGTTGCAAGATAATGTTCACTATGTAAATGGCTCTTGAGAAGCATCATGAATATTTGCTAGTGTGAATTATTAAATAATCTTATGGTCTTACATTTTGACTTCACTAGTGAATCCTCACGTGGTCCTATATTTTCTTTTCTTTCTTTTTTTTTTTCCTTTTTTTTTTTTTTTTTGAGACGGAGTCTCGCTCTGTCGCCCAGGCTGGAGTGCAGTGGCGCGATCTCGGCTCACTGCAAGCTCCGCCTCCCGGGTTCCCGCCATTCTCCTGCCTCAGCCTCCCGAGTAGCTGGGACTACAGGCGCCCGCCACCACGCCCGGCTAATTTTTTTGTATTTTTGGTAGAGACGGGGTTTCACCGTGTTAGCCAGGATGGTCACGATCTCCTGACCTCGTGATCCGCCCGCCTCGGCCTCCCAAAGTACGGGGATTACATGCGTGAGCCACCGCGCCTGGCCGGGCCTTTGCCATTTTAAACACTAGAAGAATTAATCCATATATAAATTTTCGCAAAACTATGACAAGAATTGTTAAATGCAAATCAAGCTTACTACTACGAAAAAAGCAACTTCTTTCGTGCCTCAACCTACATCCAGCCTTAAAAAGTAGTGTAAGGATCAAACTGTTCCACAAATAGTCAACCAAACCCCAGTGAAAGAATGTTCAAGAATATTTATGGGAATACAAAAATATTCAGCACCTGTCAAAGTGAGATTCACAGTCTCTGGCATCCAATCAAAAAGTAATAAGCACGCAAAAAAGTAAGAAGATATCCATAAGAAGAAGAAAACTCAATCAATGAAAAGTGAGCCAGAAATAAAACAGAATTTTCAATCAGTGAACACCAACATTAAAACTGTTATTAGAACTGTATGCCCTGTTCTCAGTCAGGTGATGATGGAACATGTTGTCTTGAGACATGGGAAATATTAAAAAACAAACAAACATACCCACAAAAAAACAAAACAAACCCAGATTGAACATCTAGAGTTAAAACCATCTGAGATTCAAAAATCAATGGATGTTATAAGGTAGAATAGATATAGCAGAAGGTAACATTAATGAACATGTAGAGATAGCAAGATAAAGTATTTAAAATGAAACATAAAAGAAAAAAGAAAGATTTCCAAGCAAAAACAAAGCAAAACTAAGAGCACAGAGAATCAATGAACTTTGGGACATCTCCAAGCAGACACAAGTATGTAATTAAACTCACTGAAGGCAGGGAACACAAAGAGGGACAGAAAAAAAGAAGAAAAGGAAACAAATTACCTAAAAACTTCAAAATTTACTAAAACAGTGAACTCATAAATACAAAAAGTTCAGTAAGTGTAAAATGCAAAGAACATGAAGAGCACCATATCACACATGTCAAAATCAAGGTGCCTAAATACAGCAATGAAGAAAAAATCTTTAAAGCATCCCTACTAGTGGGGGTAGGAGTAATGTTCTGTGTAGAGAGACAAAGATAAAGGGGCCAGGTGATGCCTCTTCAGAAAGAATGAAACCAAGGAGAGATTCAGCAACTTATAGGAAGTACTGAAATAACGAATAAGCAAAACAACCATCAATCTAAATAAATTTATATGACAAAAATATTTTGCAATATCACAGGGTAGAGAAACAAGTTCAGACATGTGAAAACTGAAAGCCCGTCACTAGCAGGCCCATACCACAAGGAATATTAAAATGAGTCATTCCAGCGGAAGGTAATAGCATAGTAAGGAATTCCAAGCACCAGGAATGATACCCGTATGGGGAATTATAAAATATATTTTATTTTAAAAATCTGTTTAAAACACTATTAGCTGTTTAAAGCCAAATAATATATATTTTAGGTTTCTAACATATGTAGAAGTGACAGAAATGACAGCAATACCACAGAGGCTGGGTAAGAAGAAAGGAGAGCACATTGCTGTATCTTCGCTATACAATAGGTGAAGTGGTACAACATATTAAAAAAAAAAAAAAAAAAAAAAAAAAAGCAGGCTGGGCACGGTGGCTCATGCCTATAATCCCAGTACTTTGGGAGGCTGAGGTGGGAAGATTATGAGTTCAGGAGTTCAAGACCAGTCTGGCCAAGAGAGCAAAAACCCACCTCTACTAAATATGGGAAAAAAAAAATTAGCTGGGTGTGGTGACTTGCACCTGTAGTCCCAGCTACTTGGGAGGTTGAAGCAGGAGAATCACTTGAACCTTGGAGGCACAGGGTGCAGTGAGCGGAAATTGCACCACTGCACTTCCAGCCTGGGTGAGACAGTGAGACTCTGTCTACAAAACAAAACAAAACAATAAAAAAAGCAGCAGTATAACATCACAGTAGATTATGGTAGACTGCTATAAAGTCTAAAGTCACCACTAAAATAGCAAAGACAAATGTTACAGCTATTAGGCTAGCATAGGAGATAAAACGAATCACAGAAAGTACCCAATCCAACAAAAGGAAAACATAAAAAGAAGAGGAAAAAAGAAAATGAATGAGAAATACAAAGCAAACTGCAAGGTGGTAAAATTAAATACAGCCACACCAATAAACATAGGAAGCGTAAATGACATGAACCTCACACCTGCAAGGTGCACATCATGATAATGGATGAAAAATACACCCAGTGTTATGTTGTCTTCAAAAAAAAGTATTTTAAATACAAACAGACAAATAGATAACAGTAAAATAATGAGAAAAGACAAATAGCTTTATGTGTGCTGCTGTCTGGCCGCCTTGAGGGGGAAATCAATGTAGAATAGCCAAACTGGAATTTCAAAAGACGAAATGCATTTTTTAATTCTAGGAGTGGTGGTTCCTGGGTGAAACCATACATTTATTTCAGTGTTCTGAATTACACATTCAATTACCTTAAAATAAGATTTATTACTAATAGATACTATTGATATCTTGCTGAGCTCTTTCAAATGCTGGAACGCTTTATATATGGTATTTCAAACCTTACACGTCTCCAAATGAGGCATCATTATTCCAATTTCACATACAAAAATGATGAGACACAGAGAGGCTAAGGAACTCAGTTAAGATAACACAGATAAACCTGAATCTGTATAGACCTATGATATTTCCACCACACCATATTGTCCCAATTGTGTTGATATAATTGAAATGCTTTTAAATGCAACTGTAATGTCAGAAAGAAATAATTTTGGCAAAGCTTAATTAAAAAAAAACGCTGAATAATTAGGAGACTGGGGTTCCTGTCTTTTCTTGCCCATTGCTTGTCTCTGTGATATTATTTGATATGATATTTTCTGGCTCACATGTTCTCATCTTAACAGTAAGAAAGAAGATGAGAGTTGGGGTGGACTCATTCATTCTAAAAGTTGAGGGATCTGCACAATAACTGCTGTTTCAAATACAAATAACTTATTTTCTCATACTTCCTTATTGCAAATTAAAAAATATAAAAATGGCAAAGGAAAAACAGAGAAATCATCTCTGAAAATTGATGCAACACTTAAAAATAACACAATGCAATTCTGTTTAGTATTTACTGATAAGAACCTTGTCTTAATAAGCTAAAGGCAATCTCAGTCTACTTTGTGTCATTCCAAGCTCTAAAATTCTTTACCATAAAAGCTGCTTAACTCGATTTAACTGGAGGGTCACATCTCAGGGGACCAGCGACCCCTCCAGAGGGAGGAAGGACAGTCAGGAGGAGCAGGACACTTCATTCCATCTGTGATTCTACCACGGCAGAGCTCGGTCACCGGAAGGATAATTAAATCCGGGTCTCATTTTCTTCTCTCGTGCAATAAGAAGAGACATAGCGCACCCTGTACGTGTACCACCCTGGGCGTGTACCACCCTGGCCACCTACAATCCTGGCTGCGTACAACCCTGGATGCATAGCACCCTGGACACGTACCACCCTGGGCATGTACCACCCTGGCCACATAGCACCCTAGCCGTGTAGCACCCTGAGGGTGTACCACCCTGGATGTGAACCATCCTCGATGAGTAGCACCCCAGGCTTGTACCATGCTGGGGACTGCACCATCCTGAACTTTGCAGCCCTCAGGCCCAGACTGACTTCTCCCACAAAAAGTTAAATTTAAAAAAATGTCCCCATGGCATCTGAGAGTAATTATATTCAACATCTTGTTCACGGAGGAGTTTCTACTTCCTGTTTTATAATTACAATGTTATGCCTGAATCTTCCAGTTTTACAAAGCTGATTTACAGGAAAGCCTTGTGCCTGAGGTATGGTGTGGAGGCCACAGACGGGGCACAGGGAGACACTGAACATGGCAGTCACCACCTGTGCCCTCCCACCTGCAGCGGCCACGCAGTCGTGGGCTGGGGTACCGGGTGCTGAGGTACTCATCTCTGAGGAACCCACAATGTGGGCGACAGTTGTCCCATTAATGAGCTTAGGAGCAGAAGTGAGACAAAGCCTCTCATTTCTCCCCACATATACTACAGGAATTCTGTCCTTATAGGGTTAGGCAGGTAAAAGGACCATCAATTGTGTATGATATGAGCAGACGAACGGTTTCAAGGACACTGTCATTTAAAACAGTGCTACATTACCGATCATCAATGACAAGTGGCCACAGCAGTAGAAATGACTGCTGAGAACGTCGGAAGGGCCACTGGTGCTGGGGTCAGAACACTGTCCCCAGTTGGGGGAAGACCAGATCCAGGGACATCATGGGGCCCTGTGGGCAGCAGATGCTGTTACAGCTCAGAAAGAGGATGTGCAATGCTTTAGAATGAAAGAAACTCAAGAATGTTCCTGCTATTAGCTGCAACATAGAAAAGGGGAAATTAGCTTGACAAGATGGATTGTAGTAGAAATAATTTTAAGTAGAGAACCTAAGAGTCAAAGCAGTAACCATAAGATTCAAAGACTAAAATAAAACGTGTGAACACCAGTGAACTGTGAAACACAAAGACTAAATTACACACTTTAAAGCTATTTCCAGACATTGTGAGACATGGCTTCTCAGCATCTTCATCATCCCCTTTTTCTTTCAGACTCTGGCACTGCATTATTTTTTTTTTAATTAGAGTTTTTATGTCTATGCTGGTGAACACACACAGGTATTACATATTTTCTGGAAAAATACATCTAAGTCATTCAAATCAAAGTATATTAGATTCCTGTGAAGTGGATATAATTCAAAATAATGGTTCTACAATTGTATTCAAATATAAAATTTAGGACTCATGCAGATTAGATTTTAAAATCAGTTCTCCCAATTTATATACACACATTATATAACATATAATAATGTATTCTATAGCTCATATATATCTGATATATATGTATTATGTATCATAAATTTATATACACACACAATTTATATGTGTATGTGTGCGTGTGTGTGTAGAAAATAATAAAAGCATTTTAACAATATAAAGGTCATGTGGCATTATCTTTTATTTCTAATTATTGAATTCTTGGCTGTTTCTCAGTCTAACTTCAGTTATTTCTCTTCTTTGTCCTGGAAGTTAGCTTCTAAAAATAGACTCAATGTTATCATTATAAACACTTTAATTTACTTGGCATTAGTATATTACAAATCCATGATTTTCATATTCATTCAAACCTAAATGTGCTTTCTGTTACTGAATTCACATAAACAGCTCAAGCTTCATGAAAAGAGTCTTTCGGAAAGGATAAAGCATGTTTTGTGGTTGCTGTTGCCTTACACGTCATGTATTCAACTCTGTACATAGTATAACTGTGGGCTTCCAGGTATTTTTCTTTAATTTCTGAAGACCTACTGTTGATTGTTGAGTCTTGATAATTCCATCATAACAAACAACAAGTGTGCAGATAGGATATACACTGGGAATGTTTATTTCCATTTGATTTTAAAAGGATGTAGATATTATTTAAATGACCTAATGATTTAAACTTTTTTTCTGTTTCCCCCATAACACACACACATATTGTAATTAATGCACAGCCTGGGGAGCAAGTGAACTAACAATTATTGAACTCTAAGCGCCAGGCACTTCATGTATTATTTCCCTGAATTCTTCCAGGAGCCCCACAGAGAATGTGACAATGAGGCCATCTAAAAATGGGCAGAGAGAGGCTTATGGCCAAGAGGGAACTTGAGTCCTAACTCCACCTTTGTCTCAGATCTCATGCTCTTTTCTTTCCAGAACCCTCCCTGATGCATGACTTAGCCCTATAGGGTTGTGACATAGAGGGAACACCTGGAGTCCAAATGAATACAGAATTAAATGTGGTCTTTAAAAATGGTCTCTATGGCATTGAAGCTGTGGCTTCAATGGAAGCTGTGGAAGAAGCAGAGCAGCCTGCAACGGTTCCGTGAGCCTGACCTATCTGACCTGTGCTGGGCCAGATGCTCTGTAGTAACTCATGTGTATTTCAGTCTGACTCTAGTGTTCATCAAAGTCATCTAAGTGGTAGGCACATGTATTCTGGAGTGGGAGGAAGGGAGGAAGGAGAGAGACATAAAGTGGAATATTCTGAAAACAAAATGATCTTCTACCCAAAGCCCTTGGGAACGGTCCTGCTCATGGAATAGGAACAATCTTGGAAACTCAGGAAATATTGCGGAAAAAATAAATTGAAATTAAAATGGCATTTTTCCCAGGGAATTCTTAAGAATCATTATAGCTAACTCAGATTAGTGGTAGCGTAAATGCAGGGAAGGCAACATTGTGATATGTCATTCATTCATTCATTCATTCATTCCACAAATATTTATAGAATGCAAATTATGTTGAATATTTACTGAATGCGTATTATGTGTGGAATATTTTTCCAGGCACTAGGAATGCAATATCGCCCTCAGTGAGTATATTTGGGGCATGCAGAGAGAAGAAACACCATTAAAAAAATAAAATTTGTAATAGCTCAGTGGATTTTAAATGCTATGGAGAAAAATAAATCAAGAGAAAATGGTATTTTTTTGATAGGAATAGGTAGAGAATGCAATTTTACATTAGGTAGTCAGGAAACACCTCAATAAGAAAGTGGCATTGAAAAAAAATATGAAGTAGAGGATCAGATCTAATAATAATATTTACATCACTGAGCCTTTAGTTTGATTTTATGTAGTATTATAAAAATTAGGATTGTTTTCCCAAAAATATAATGTCATGTTGAGTCCTTAGGCCTTGTTTCTTTTCATCCTGAGAGCTTTAAGTCTTTGTATGAGAGATCAAACCGTTTTGCCCACTAAAATGACATGTAGAATTCATTCTTTTCCAAATATTTTGTGCATTCCTAATTGATAAGTATCTCAGGGTAGACCCCGACTGATTTCTAAACATACTTGCCTAAGGTGAAAAGAATGAATGTACGCAGTCAGACTTTGTTTTGGTTGTTGGTGCTGTATGGATGTTTTCATATTGAATAACATACCGTTCTTTGTTATTAGTCACTGAGATTAGAATGAAAAGTGATACCTACACATTTTTACACTAATTATGAGCATAAGATTGAGCTGGTTACACAAAGAGGGGAGTCTTTCATTTATTCAATAACTTATTTTAACCATATTCTTAATAACAACAGCTAACACAGACAATGCTTCCTAGACAAACCACTGTGTACATATTTCAATTTATGAACATGAACTCTCCTATTTTCCCAACAAGATTCTGCAGTAGCTACTATTATCCCCATTTTAAAGATGAACAAACTGAGGCAGAAAAGTTAAGGAACATCCCTCAGGTTTATAAACCAAGTAAAAGGGAGAGCCAGGATTTGACCTGAGGTGGTGTGGCTCCAGAGTTTGTATACAAACAGCACACACCAAACAGGTAATTCTTAAATAATTTTTGGGTGTCAATCTGACTTCCAACCACAGAGGAAAGTGTGATTGGATCAATGTGCTTCCTGACACATTTGGGTGCATTTATTAATACATACATGTATATCTATAGAACTATATAAAATGCAAAGCTGTGTATATCTGTGTTACATGAATGTTATTATACAGTATATGTAGTCACAAGCTTTATTCACTCAATAGTACACCTTAGAAGCCTGTGTTCAATACAGATAGATCAAGCTCATTTTTACAGCTGCTACATACAAAAATAGTCTATTTGCTAATTTTTCCAATTTCAAATGCTGCAAATATTTCTACTATAAATCTATCGTATAAATGTGTGTGAATTTCTCTAAGGTTGATACAAAGAGGTGATGTTAATGATCACCTTTTCAAGACTCACCACCCATCTCAACAACTCTCAAAACAGTCCTTTCATGGTTAGGAATTGCCTCCATTTTTTTCTATCCTGCTCTCTCCACATTCTTTTATTTTTACAGCTATTCTTTCTTATTCTTCTGTTGAACTTTAATTGTAACATCAAAGAGTCTATCTTAGGTGTTGCGTCTTTCTCTATCTATTCTGATACCATATGTAGACTTCTCAACCTTGACATCACTGGCATTTTGTATGAAATAATTATTTGCTGTGGAGATTGTCTGGCTGTAGGACATTTTGCAACATCTCTGGCCTCTATCTACTAGATGCCATAGCACTCCAAGCTCCTAGAGTTCTAACAATCAAAAATCTCTGCAGACATTGCCAAACGTCATCTGCGGAGAAAAATTACCCCCAGCTCAAAAAACTACTGCCTACGAGATGTCACCCAGTCCCTGGCATTCAAATACCATGCATATTTGAATCCCCTTTTTGAATAAGATTGGAATCTACACTTTGGTCTCTAGGGCCAACCTCTTACCTGACTTCTAGATTTTTATACCCAACTACTACCTGCTCTGTCTTTTTTATTTAGGGTTTAATATTTCATTGCTCTGTAAGTTGCATAAAATAACATTATATTTACTAATCGACAAGCATAGGTATAGATATTTTTATGAATTCTTAATAAATTTTCAAATTTAGACTACTTTAAAAATTTGTTTTAAAGTTTAAAAATAGTAGAGAATCTCCATAAATGGCCACAGCCCGTTTTCCTTACTGTTAGCATCTTAGCTTTGTATGGACATTTCTTACAATCAGTGACCAATATTGGCATATTCTTCTTCACTAAAGTCTTATTGAATTATCTTAGCTTTTAAGTAACGTTCGCTTTCTGTTTCAGGAATCCATTCGGATACCACACTGCGTTTACGTGCCGTTCCTCTTTAGGTGTCTCCTGGCTGGGGCAGCTTCTCGGACCTCCCTTGTTTTAAGGGCCTTGATGGTTTTCAGAAGTTGCGGCCAGATATTCTGTGGAATGTCCCTCCTGTGGAACTTGTCTGGTGTTTTCTCACAGTGCACCAGGTTGTGGGTTGTTGGGAAGATCACAGAGGTAAAGAACACTTCTCGTCGCAGCATGCCAGGGACACGCATCATCAGTGGGACTTCCACTCTGGATGTTGACTTGATCACTTGGCTAGGGTCGTGTTTGTCAGTTTCTCCACTATAAACTTCTGTATTTTTACTTCCTTGCAGCCTATACTCTTTGGAAGGGAGGAACTATGAGCAGCAGAACTTAAGGAATACGAAAGGAGGCTAGTTATACACAGAGCACCCACTAAAGTAATTAATCAAGAGCAGAGAATCTACAAACTTTTTTAATTTTTAATTTTTAAAATTTTATTTAATTTTTGTTTTTTGCATATATACATACTTATGGGGTACATATTTTGATACAGGCATACGATGAATTTTAATTGCATCAGGGTAAATGGGGGTATGTATCATCCTGGAGGGGTAAATCTTTAAGCATTTATTCTTCATGTTACAAACAATCTAATCATACTACTTTATTTCAAAATATACAATTAAATTATTGCTTACAAGAGTCATCCTGCGGTGCTATCAAATACTAGATCTTATTCGTTCTCTTTTTTTGGACCCATTACACATCCCCACTTCCATCCAAGCCCCAACCTCAAAAACTATTTAGTGAGTAAATGAATTAAGTCACTAAACTATAAATGCCCTAATTGACCAAGTGTATAAAATTCAGAGTCCCTGAAACGGTGAATTTACCATCTTTATCTCAAGTGCCAATTTTTAAAATTTTAGAGAAGATTCTGGATCTGAAAGGGCACTTCTAATACTCCCAGATTAAAAATAAGCCTACCTTTACGTGAGTCTTGAAGTGACCTATATTCCCATCCATGATAAGGTCTCACTTGGTTGGAGAAAGGCTGCAGATGGAGGAGGAGTGACATGCCCTACTTTTAAGGAGGAAGGAGCCAGAAAACCCACCCCAACATGATGCCTGAAATCCTCTCTGGCTTTGTTTTGAAGCGCACTGCCCTGAGTTACAGCATCTTTATTGAAAGGGAGAACCAGGAAAAAGAAAAGAAAAGAAAAGAAAAAAGACCAGGAGTAGAAAGCAGAAATGGCAGCACAATCCCTGCTGAGAATCTCTGCTGAGAGCACAGCCTCCCAGGGACCAGGCCTGTGGGAACAATGCCAAGCTTCCTGGATTTCTTCAACAGTTTTACAAAGCCTGCACAAAAGCTCATCTAAGTTTTGAAGACTCAAAAAAAAAAAAAAGATATGTACAAGTAAAGCCAGACTCGGCAGCTTCTTTCACTGTTGGCATGATCCCGGAGGGCTGATCCAACCCAGTAGCATAATGTAGTTAAATCAGACCGCAAGGTTGAAAACGCTTTGGCAGAATTCAAAGCGCCCTACACGTATAAATTGAATGCACCATTGTTGTTATTCTGTATTTCCATGACCTAGCACAAAATGCAACTTCGAATCAGCAGAGAAAAGCAACTCCAACAATCAAGCAAACCTCTGTCAACGTCCTCAGAAGTGCTAAGTGCACAGCGGGGCTTGTAGGTTTCTGTGGGGCCCTAGAAAACTATGATAAAATGGTGAGCAGGATAAATTTTCTGTACTGATCAAGGCCAATTTATTTTCCAAAAATCAACAGAGAAGGCAAGCAGGGATTAAAGAAAGGCAAAGAAACACCACTGCTGGTTTTGGTAGGGCTCCCAGTGTCCCAGGTGTGATGGACACCATACAATACTGACAGTTTTCTTCTCTTTCTTCTCTTTCTTTTCTTTCTTTTCTTTTCTCTTTCTTTCTTTCCTTCCTCCTTTCTTCCTTCCTTCCTTCCTTCCTTCCTTCCTTCCTTTCTTTCTTTTTCTTTCTTTCTTTCTTTCTTGACAGAGTTTCACTCTTGTTGCCCAGGCTGGAGTGCAACAGTGTTATCTCGGCTCACTGCAACCTCTGTCTCCCTGTCATATACAGGTTCAAGGGATTATCCTGCCTCAGCCTCCCAAGTAGCCGGGACTAAATACCCAGCTAATTTCTGTATTTTTAAAAATAGAGACAGGGTTTCACCATGTTGGTCAGGGTGGTCTCGAACTCCTGACCTGAAGTGATCCACCCACCTTGGCCTCCGAAAGTGCTGGGGTTACAGGCATGAGCCACCGTGCCCACCCAGTACTGCAGGATTTCTGAGAGGGTGGGAGTCCAGACAGGGCACAGCCTGCCATTTGGCAAAAGATTAGAGAAGAACGCTGACATTTAATGCGTAATTATCATATGCACAAGGAGTATAATGATAACACTCACGTGTATGCTATTTTCATATAATATAATTGGCAAAGACCTATTTCTCCAAGTTCCATATTGGAGATCCCAAATATCTTGTAGTGAGGGGTGATTTTGCCCACTGCAAGATGGATAATCTTTACCCAGGGTCAGAGTGCAGTGGGAGATCAGCATCTCCAAATTTAGTTTGCTAGAACGTCAATGCACCAAATTTGAGGAAGCAAGCTGAGAAAATCACGAAATTCTTGCCTTTCCCTCCATATAATTTAAGTATTTAGACCAGTATTTCAACCTAGGCATCTCCTTTGGAAAAGAATTCTGATAGAAGGAATCATCCCATAATAAGTAAGGTGTATATATTTGCTATTAATGTTATAAATATTTAGCTCATCACCACATGATAAAAGAACAAGTTTTAAAAAAAAATGGGATATCTGAGGACACATCCTGGAACCCACTTCCAGATACTCTAACTGTGCAGATTTGGGGCAGGGCCTAGGTAAACCCCTCTCCATCTCTCATACCACAATGATTCCAATGCAGTAGTCCATAGACCACAATGCCAGACGTACTGAACTAGGCGCAGAGAGAAGTGGCTAATGAGGGTCTGAGAGGTATAAATGGACCCAGAACCTGAGGGCCCCCTTACTCTCAGCTAAAGAAGTGGCCTTATACTTTAGCAAAGGGTAACAATTGGTACCTCTAACCAGAGGAGTCCTTGGGAGGCTGTGTGCTGAAAGGATGATTGGAATAAGAAGGGGCTGATACGAGGACCCCTTGCCCAGGAAGCTTCTCCATGGGTGCAGTGTACAGTTAGTGAAATCTGAACTACAGGTGCAAATTTGAAGCCTGAAAATATAACACGTTATTAAAAAGTCACTAACAACAGCACCGTGTGTTTAGAACTTAGACTACCAAGATTTATTCAAAGAAAAGTATTTTATCACTGACAGTGCTTAGCATTGCGAATGCATGAGAATAATAAAAATCAGACTGACCTTTAGTTAGTTTTACTATTATTCTAAATTCTCTACAGACAGTGTGTGCGCTGACTGCCTCTACCTTGGTGTGAATAGCTCCCACCACCTGCTTTTTATCATGGTCTCGGTGGGGAACCCTACTGAAGTTCAAGGTTTTGGCCAACGCAATATATTCTTAAAACACCATCGCAATCAAAATATGAAACACTTTTGTTATCTCAAGTGGTTTTCTCTGACCTTGCAAGCTGGTCCTCAATTTCCACTCCTGCTCTTAGCAACCTCTGATCTCCTTTCTATTACTACAGATTTCATTTGTCTTGCATAGAGTGTCATATACATAGAAACATACCCCAAAAATAGCAGGTTAAAATCAAACAGCTCATCATGGCAGTAGGAGGAAAATGCTCCAGAACTGGCTTCTTGAATTTCCTCTGGATATGATGGCATTTGGGGGCTTAGATTAGAGAATAAACCAGTATGTTTAAATGCCTAAAGCTTTACAAAAATGTTCAGTAGCTTTTACTAGTAGGTTGGTTTATATATTGACTATACATGAAATTAGTTGCTATAATTATCATAAATAATAATTAAGGGAAAATAAAAATGTATTTACTTAACACATATCTGTGCATTCTTTATTACCGTGCATTCAAAAGTATATAAGGAAGTTAAGAACCTGAGATGTAATTGTTTTCCCCAACATGGCCACAGCTTTGCTTAGGAAGTTCACTGAGAGCCAAATGCTACTCCTATCTCTCTCTGTCGCAGTTCACTACACCAGCTGCTAATGGTCTCTAAGCAGCCATTCTCCACTTTTTTCTATGTAAGTACAGAACTCCTCATTACCACCATCAAGATTTCACAGAACGCACGGCCATGAGAAGAAATGATTTGGCGCC
Source organism: Homo sapiens (assembly GCF_000001405.40). Lineage (NCBI taxonomy): Eukaryota > Metazoa > Chordata > Mammalia > Primates > Hominidae > Homo > Homo sapiens. The sequence goes on from NC_000008.11 coordinate 4,054,216, forward strand.
ACCTCTCTTGTAGCTGAACATGGACAAATGACGACTTTGAGAGTTAAGAGGTGACGGGGAAGTGAAGATGTGGCTTCCACTTCACATTCTCTCCTCTCCTCTGGGGAGCTGGGGTAGGAATGTGTGGTTTGATCTATCTCTGTTGCCTTCATCCCATATAGGGGATGGCCGCCCGAGCCATCTACCCTAGCTAGGCACCCATCATACCCCTAAACTCTTGTATGGGAGAGAAGCAAACTTCTTCTTAGCAAGAACGACTGCATTTTGGAAGCTTTTGTCATGTCGGTTTCGTCTACACCCTACCTCATCCAATTATCAAACATGCCTGAGATGTCCCTCTTGCGGAGTTCAACCCTCTTGGTGGTGTAGTCTAATTGTGGAGGTGTATTTAGCTTATTTCCCCATCGGACTGTAAAACACATAGGTAATGAACAGGTCCTTGCACAGTGTCTCATAGGACATTAGCTGAATACATGTGAATTCCTGAGGGTGCCCAGAGGAAAATAAACATTTGGACATTTTGTGATGTGTCATTCTCTGGGGGTTGATGATGACATCTACCTTCAAGTGGACGAACAACAATGGAAACAGAAGCTCCTTCCCCATCTATCTAGCCACAGCAGCCCACTGTTTGGAGAGAATGTATTGAAATGTTCTGTGACATACAAAGGCTACGTCTGCCTGTGCCCTGAGCTCTGGGGTTTCTCTTTTAAATCAATAAAGTACAAAGAGACATCAAAAGTTTTCACTTACACTGCTTTTAACAGCATACAAAGAATGTCATATAAATGTGTGTGAAGAAGGCGCCTATTTCACAAACTTACATGAATATACTATATTCAAACAATCAGAGAGAATACTCATGAGATTATTAGTAACACATTTTCTTTGAGCTTTGTGTAGTAGATGATAGAAATATGGCCTACTTCAGAAACTGTTTGAAATATGAATTTCTCATACGCAGTCAAGTTAAAACTTCAATTTTCTTATTCAATTTTTAAAAACCATTTTGAGACAATAGGATTACTTGCCTCAAATGAATTCAGGTTAAACAATTTTTGTATTATTGTTTTTCTCTAGAAAGATTCCAATGTCTCCTTCTCTAATAAATTTTTATAGATTACAAAAATATCCTTTTTATAATTATTGTAAATTTCACAAACTTACTAAGTGATTAATCCAATACATATTTTAAACTCACTAAACATTCCAAAATCAGATCAGCATTTTGAAGAGAAAAATTTAATAAATTATATGAAATACATATGTAAAGCATTTCATATAAATAAGAGTCAAAATCAGCTCAAATTTAATAATGTCAAGAATTTTAATGAATATCATATAAAGAAGAAGAGTCAAAATCAGCTAAGATTTAATAACGTTAAGAATTTTAATGAATATAAAATATTAATGGAAAATATTAAAACAGAAACTGTTTAATGTAATTATAAATGCCACCAAAGTAACAATATACTTTGAAAAATCACCATGTATTAATTACAAATAAAAACTTGCTGTCATCCACAACAGAATGACTTGACTAGATACTGTATAAACAAACAAGACTCTTCAGCACTTCAAATGACTAACACTGAAGCAGAAGTGTTGATTTTACAGTTGATTTTCTTTTTTACTATGCCAGCTTATTTAAACATACCAAAATAGCACTTACATACAAATGATGAGTCATTAGTATTTAAGCTTTTAAACAAAAATATGTAAATTACACTTAAAATGAAACACACCCTACCTGAGTTTTCCCCTACTAGAAGGCTCTGTTATGGAAAATTGTAGTCTACACAGATTTCCTCCTGGGAAAATTGAACTCAACCCTGAATCTCTGTTTGGATATTGGTGGCTTCCTTTTTTTTTTTTTTTTTTTTTGAGACAGAGTCTCACTTTGTCACCCAAGCTGCAATACAGTGGCACCATCTTGGCTTACTCCAACCTCTGCCTCTTGGGTTCGAGCAATTCTCTTGCCTCAGCCTCCCGAGTAGCTGGGATTACAGGTGTGTACTCCCACTCCTGGCTAATTTTTGTATTTTTTAGTAGAGATGGAGTTTCACCATGTTGGCCTGGCTCGTCTCAAACTCCTGACCTTAGGTGATCCACCCGCGTCAGCCTCCCAAAGTGCTGGGATTATAGGCATGAGCCACCATGCCCAGCCATATTGGTGAATTTCTTTTTTTTTTCTTTTTTTTTTGTTTGTGCCAAACTAACATTAAAATTTATTTATGATATTAAAATACACAAATAGTTTCCGGGGCTGAGAGTCCTGAAAAATATTGGGCTACTAAGGAAAGCATTTAATTTCAATTTTATTATTATTATTATTATAGTTTAAGTTTTAGGGTACATGTGCACAATGTGCAGGTAAGTTACCTATGTATACATGTGCCATGCTGGGGTCCTGCACCCATTAACTCATCATTTAGCATTAGGTATATCTCCTCATGCTATCCCTCCCCACTCCCCCCACCCCACAACAGGCCCTGGTGTGTGATGTACCCCTTCCTGTGTCCATGCGTTCTCATTGTTCAATTCCCACCTATGAGTGAGAACATGCGGTGTTTCGTTTTTTGTCCTTGTGATAGTTTACTGAGAATGATGATTTCCAATTTCATCCATGTCCCTACAAAGGACATGAAGTCATCATTTTTTATGGCTGCATAGTATTCCATAGAGTATATGTGCCACACTTTCTTAATCCAGTTTATCACTGTTGGACATTTGGGTTGGTTCCAAGTCTTTGCTATTGTGAATACTGCTGCAATAAACATACGTGTGCATGTGTCTTTATAGCAGCATGATTTATAGTCCTTTGGGTATGTACCCAGTAATGGGATGCCTGGGTCAAATGGTATTTGTAGTTCTAGATCCCTGAGGAATCGCCACACTGACTTCCACAAGGGTTGAACTAGTTTACAGTCCCACCAACAGTGTAGTGTTCCTATTTCTCCACATCCTCTCCAGCACCTGTTGTTTCCTGACTTTTTAATGATTGCCATTCTAACTGGTGTGAGATGGTATCTCATTGTGGTTTTGATTTGCATTTCTCTGATGGCCAGTGATGGTGAGCATTTTTTCATGTGCTTTTTGGCTGCATAAATGTCTTCTTTTGAGAAGTGTCTGTTCATGTCCTTCGCCTACTTTTTGATGGGGTTATTTGTTTTTTTCTTGTAAATTTGTTTGAGTTCATTGTAGATTCTGGATGTTAGCCCTTTGTCAGATGAGTAGGTTGTGAAAATTTTCACCCATTTTGTAGGTTGCCTGTTCATTCTGACGGTAGTTTGTTTTGCTGTGCAGAAGCTCTTTAGTTTAATTAGATCCCATTTGTCAATTTTGGCTTTTGTTGCCATTGCTTTTGGTGTTATAGACATGAAGTCCTTGCCCATGCCTATGTCCTGAATGGTAATGCCTAGGTTTTCTTCTAGGGTTTTTATAGTTTTAGGTGTAACGTTTAAGTCTTTAATCTATCTTGAATTGATTTCTGTACAAGGTGTAAGGAAGGGATCCAGTTTCAGCTTTCTACATATGGCTAGCCAGTTTTCCCAGCACCATTTAATAAATAGGGACTCCTTTCCCCATTGCTTGTTTTTGTCAGGTTTGTCAAAGATCAGATAGTTGTAGATATGCAGCATTATTTCTGCAGGCTGTGTTCTGTTCCATTGATCTATATCTCTGTTTTGGTACCAGTACCATGCTGTTTTGGTTCCTGTAGCCTTGTAGCATAGTTTGAAGTCAGGTAGGGTGATGCCTCCAGCTTTGTTCTTTTGCCTTAGGATTGACTTGGCAATGTGGGCTCTTTTTTGGTTCCATATGAATTTTAAAGTAGTTTTTTCCAATTCTGTGAAGGAACTCATTGGTAGCTTGATGGGGATGGCATTGAATCTATAAATTACCTTGGGCAGCATGGCCATTTTCACGATATTGACTCTTCCTACCCATGAGCATGGAATGTTCTTCCATTTCTTTGTATCCTCTTTTATTTCATTGAGCAGTGGTTTGTAGTTCTCCTTGAAGAGGTCCTTCACATCCCTTGTAAGTTGGATTCCTAGGTATTTTATTCTCTTTGAAGCAACTGTGAATGGGAGTTCACTCACGATTTGGCTCTCTGTTTGCCTGTTATTGGTATATAAGAATGCTTGTGATTTTTGTCCATTGATTTTGTATCCTCAGACTTTGCTGAAGATGCTTATCAGCTTAAGGAGATTTTCGGCTGGGACAATGGGGTTTTCCAGATACACAATCACGTCATCTGCAAACAGGGACAATTTGCCTTCCTCTTTTCCTAACTGAATACCCTTTATTTCCTTCTCCTGCCTAATTGCCCTGGCCAGAACTTCCAACATATAGGCTCAAAATAAAAGGATGGAGGAAGATCTACCAAGCAAATGGAAAACAAAAAAAGGCAGGGGTTGCAATCCTAGTCTCTGATAAAACAGACTTTAAACCAACAAAGATCAAAAGAGACAAAGAAGGCCATTACATAATAGTAAAGGGATCAATTCAACAAGAAGAGCTAACTATCCTAAATATATATGCACCCAATACAGGAGCACCCAGATTCATAAAGCAAGTCCTGAGTGACCTACAAAGAGACTTAGACTCCCACACAATAATAATGGGAGACTTTAACACACCACTGTCAACATTAGACAGATCAACGAGAGAGAAAGTTAACAAGGATACCCAGGAATTGAACTCAGCTCTGCACCAAGCGGGCCTAACAGACATCTACAGAACTCTCCACCCCAAATCAACACAACACAAATTCTTTTCAGAACCACACCACACCTATTCCAAAATTGACCATACAGTTGGAAGTAAAGCTCTCCTCAGCAAATGTAAAAGAACAGAAATTATAACAAACTGTCTCTCAGACCACAGTGCAATCAAACTAGAACTCAGGATTAAGAAACTCACTCAGAACCGCTTAACTACACAGAAACTGAACAACCTGCTGCTGAATGACTACTGGGTACATAACGAAATGAAGGCAGAAATAAAGATGTTCTTTGAAACCAAAGAGAAGAAAGACACAACATACCAGAATCTCTGGGACACATTCAAAACACTGTGTAGAGTGAAATTTATAGCACTAAATGTCCACAAGAGAAAGTAGGAAAGATCCAAAATGGACACCCTAACATCACAATTAAAAGAACTAGAAAAGCAAGAGCAAACACATTCAAAAGCTAGCAGAAGGCAAGAAATAACTAAAATCAGAGCAGAACTGAAGGAAATAGAGATGCAAATAACCCTTCAAAAAATTAATGAATCCAGGAGCTGGTTTTTTGAAAGGATCAACAAAATTGATAGACTGCTAGCAAGACTAATAAAGAAAAAAAGAGAGAAGAATCAAATAGATGCAATAAAAAATGATAAAGGGGATATCACCACCGATCCCACAGAAATACAAACTGCCATCAGAGAATACTACAAACACCTCTACGCAAATAAACTAGAAAATCTAGAAGAAATGGATAATTTCCTCGACACCTACACTCTCCCAAGACTAAACCAGGAAGAAGTTGAATCTCTGAATAGACCAATAACAGGAGCTGCAATTGTGGCAATAATCAATAGCTTACCAACCAAAAAGAGTCCAGGACCAGATGGATTCACAGCCGAATATTACCAGAGGTACAAGGAGGAACTGGTACCATTCCTTCTGAAACTATTCCAATCAATAGAAAAAGAGGGAATCCTCCCTAACTCATTTCATGAGGCCAGCATCATCCTGATACCAAAGCCGGGCAGAGACACAGCCAAAAAAGAGAATTTTAGACCAATATCCTTGATGAAGTTTGATGCAAAAATCCTCAATAAAATACTGGCAAACCGAATCCAGCAGCACACCAAAAAGCCTATCCACCATGATCAAGTGGGCTTCATCCCTGGGATGCAAGGCTGGTTCAACATATACAAATCAATAAATGTAATCCAGCATATAAACAGAACCAAAGACAAAAACCACATGATTATTTCAATAGATGCAGAAAAGGCCTTTGACAAAATTCAACAACCCTTCATGCTAAAAACTCTCAATAAATTAGGTATTGATGGGACGTATCTCAGAATAATAAGAGTTATCTATGACAAACCCACAGCCGATATCATACTGAATGGGCCAAAACTGGAAGCATTCCCTTTGCAAACTGGCACAAGACAGGGATGCCCTCTCTCACCACTCCTATTCAACATAGTGTTGGAAGTTCTGGCCATATTGGTGAATTTCTAATGATGCTTGTTATTATTTGAGAAGGAAGGAGCTGAGGTTTTAGAATAGAAAAACAAAGGGGATGTCGGAGAAGGAGTGTGGCCTCTGCAATGGTTAACAGTGCGAATGAGTTCCAGGGGAAGGTCATTCTGGGTTTCGGAACTGTCCCAGCCACCTTAGCGATGGGGCTACTGGAGGAGGATCTGCAAAGGAGAAGCGGCACCTGGCATGAACATAGATAAGGCCTGAGAAATGCCTGCTCCTCCACATGGGAATTTTAATAAGATGTGCTCAAAGCATCACAGCTATTCATGTTATTCTACCTATGTGGGACCACACAGGACCCTGAGATTAAAAAAAGGTAGGAATGGGGCAAGGACTAAAATCAGAAATGCATTAATCATGTAAGGTTAGATGACCAGACAGGAAGAAAACAAAGGCAAAAAATAAAACTCCCACTAAGCCTGTTTCCCATTTGCAGTAGAAGAAACCAACATAGAAGCTTCTCATTGAAAGTGTGGAGGAAAGAGATAAGACAAGCTGCTTGTGAGCAAGCAAAGCAAAAAAGAGAATTAATTTCACAATACCCATTGTGATTAATTTATGATGTACAAAATGCCATCTACATTTAATTTGTTTGTTGTATTATTTTTGTTGATATCTTATGGAGAATATAAAGATGGGCTCCAGCAGGCTCATCTCATCCCCATCCTTGCCCCTTACGATGGAAAATCCCTCAGCTGCAGTTCTAACATGAGCCCTTTTAGGAACCCAGCCCTGCTGATTAGAGAGGAAAGAGGAGCTGTTCTAAGTTAGACACAGGCATGGAATATTGACTTCACAGAGAGGTACATCTTATCATACAAGAATTTCTTTAACAAGGAACCACTAAAAATTCAGAGACAAAGAAAAGTAGAAGTAAAAATTAAAAAATGAAATGAAGTAAGTGCACAACAGATTAAATCAGCTTCCTAGCACTCTTCCAACCTGTGAAACTTTTATAGCTCCCTGAAAATGGATAAGAAACCAAAGAGGTGGCAAAAGGAGTTTAAATAAAAACTGTAAAGTAAGTAGGGAATGTGGGAGAAGCTGCAGTGAAGAAAGCCTACAGAATAATAACCCTCATGCTCTTGACTATGGTAAGGAAGTTGTCTGGTTCCAGACACTAGGACCTGTTTACCAGACAGATTCTGCAAGGGAGGATGGACTGTGTGGAAAGACTGTTTCGTGATGGTGTGAAATATCTTTTATGATTTTTCAAGTATCTTACATTTATTCCTTACCAAATTAATTATTCTAATGAGTGAGTCACCTCTCTGCATGTTCAGTACCTAAAAAGGAGTTCTCCATTTGCAGTTGATTATTTATTTTAAATGATGCTTCACTTTAGAAGAAATATACACTGTATAGATGTAGGTCAGTCTTTCCATGACTTGACAACTTCTGAGCATACTGGTAAAGTGAATAAATAAATCAATTATGCATTACTGACTAACGAAAGATTCTTCATCAGCATTATCTTAGTCAGGGGATGCCAAACCCCCTGCTGCCCTGTCTGAGAGGTCAAGGTGTAGTGGGGAGGAGAGCACGCAGGTGGTGAAAATGCAGAGTGCCAGCTGCCGTGGTGGAGCCAGGTGCCAGGAGAATGGCAAAGCATCACAGAGAATGCATGGAGGGTCAGCAGAGGGTCAGTGGAGGCTCATGATATGCACTGATACCAGAAACACGCAAGACTTGCCAAGTGACGGGAGTGAGGAAAGGCATTCCAAGCTACGGGCCAGGTTCACACAAGTCTAATTTCCTCAGAGTCATCATGTCATAAATGCTGCAATAAAACCAAAGTTGGCAGAATAGAGCATGTCAACTGGGGACTTCTAAATAATATGGTCCAGGGTGGAGAGTGGCAGAAGAATTTTCATTTGACAATGGCTTTTTCTCAAGCAATAAGAGGGCAATGAGACCAATCGGTTGTACATACGTATTCTAGAAATTTTCTAAGAATCTCAGATATCTGACACAATGTCAGAATCAAATGCACTACAAATAAATAAACAATAACCATTCTAAGTGGGGAAATGTATTTTAAATCACCTGTGGCATTGACATGAACAACATTTCGTGAAACATATCCTATAAAAGTTTTCAGTGATACGTCCCAGATCTGATCTTAAAGCTGGAAAAACAGCACTTATTAGATTTCAATTCAGTAGTCACGTGCAGAAACACAGATTCCTTGTGCAAGACCCATGATGGCAAAGCCACACTGTCATTATTCCTGATCAGCATTATCAAATTCAAAAAAAAAAAAAGGCAGGTTCTGCATGCTCAGTAAAATCTGATTGTTCAAACCCAGTATCTGTCAGCATCACGGATGTCTGACTTTAGGTCTTTGTGTGTCAAAACCCTACCAGCCAAGAGAAATGAAAGCCTGTACGTAATACTGAAGAGTAAACTGCAGCAATATTACTGATCATTGCAAAAAAAAAAAATTCTTCTATATAAAAAGCTGTTAACAACATCATCCAGATAAAGGAATAAGGAAATAGGTAATCCAGACACTTATTAAGAGATACTGTTAGTTACATAATTTAGGAAGAAACGTTGGCTAATAGGGATAAATATATGAGAGAGAAGAAAAACGTTCTAATGTTTGATAGCACTGTAAGTTGACTATAGCTAATAATTTATTGTGTATTTCAAAATGCCTAGAAGATTTGGAAATGATAAATGTTGACAGTAATGGATATCATAATTATCCTGATTTGATCATGAGACTTTGTGTGCATATTTCAAAATATCACATGTATCCCATAAATATGTACAGTTATTACATAGAACAAAAAAACCAAAAAAGAAAAATTAGTTACAATGTAAAAAATAATTTAAAGATAAAATAAAAATTATGTTTAAAGAAAATGTGTATGAAAAATTTAAATATCAGACAAGTAAACTATATAGATTATAGTATATATTTAAATTATGATTATTAAATGAATACAATGTCCTTAGAACAATGCCTGGCATATACCATGTCTTATATGCGTCTATTAAATAAAACAAAACAGAACTATTCTGTGTGCCACAGTTTTAATACCAAGAAAAATACTCCTTAAGAACCAGCCATTAATTTAAGCAATATTCCTTGGCACTGACAAGGTGCCACGTACGTTTCCAGTTCAGCGGCTTCCAGCAGTGGACACATCAGGTGCTGCCTCCCTGAGGGGCATTCTACCAGGAAGGATAAGCATGGACCAGGCATGCTACCTAAGTAAGGAGTCCACTGCCTTAGAAATGGGAAGTGCCTTTTATTTTGAATCTAAATTTCATATCTACTTCTTCATTCAGTTCCACTTAAACCTGCATCTATCTGAGAGCACTTTGAATGTGGTAAGAAGGAACCAGGAGTAGACTATGACTTTGTCACATCAGCATTTTACACGTAGCTGAAATATCAAATCGTGCACAATGATGTAGGTGATAAATCATCTTTCATCCAGATTTCATTAAATCATAAAATATTAAACAAAAAGAGAGTGTGTGTTGGGAAAATGGGGAAATGAGTGTACCTAAAGAAGCCTCAGATGCTCAACTGACACCAGCTGAGAGTGAGGGCTCCTGAGAAGTGCGCAGTGTGAAGCCCATGTGAAATGCGAATCTACTCTCCTGCAGCAAAGGGTCCTAGAAAATTGTTTCTGCCTCTGATGTAAAGTTCAAAAGTTTGACTATGAAAAGTGCAAACTAAAGACATTAGGAGCTTTCACCATGGCTCAGATTTGTTTCTGCATCCCAGTGGTCATTCGCTGATGGAAATACTTGACGTCAGTCTTCCCTTTTTTATCGTACCATATTTTATATCCTGCAATGTTCCTGGGCTCCATATGGTGTTTCATAGTCACCTGCTCTCTTTCACAAATTGTATCTCTGTTTAGGGTTTTCTGCAGTTGTTTTCTCCCTCAATGTTGAGAAGGTAGAGAATAAGTAAGCTTCTGCGGGCTTTGCCCAAGTTTTAAATTTTCATATATCAAAACTGTAGCTGTCTAGAGCTGCATGTGCCTGCAAATGTGAGGCAGGGATAACATCCAAGTGAAGCCACCCATGAGGGGTGCATCGATGTCAACACACAGCTCCTACTTCCACCCTGTCATACAACTGCCGTTTCCGAACGTGGCAAGGCTCCCAACACCTGTGCCTTCACATACATGGTTTCTATGGCAGGTACACTCTGTATTCTCCCCTCCAACACTGCTGCTGCCCTGGCGTGTTGGTCACCCCCAGTATCCGTACTCAACCTTCACAACCGAGATCTCTCAGTACTGCTGTGGAAACAATCCAGTCCATTTAGAAACAGCCTTCCTGTACTCCCGGTGATCTTGTTATTTATATCTATATCATGTCAATAATGTGATGTAAGTGTACTGTGTTTGTAATGTGTGTATCTACATGGGTTTCCTCACAAAGTGGTCAATTCCATTGAGAATAGGACCTAGGCTTAAAAAAAAAAACCTTACCTCTAGATTTAACGCTGTGCATTCACTAACTTTTGTGTCAGTTTTCATCAAATCCACTTAAGTTGTTCATTTTTAAAAAAAATCTGAAATGATTAAAATGTGCTAAAAATTACTGATTATAATTTTACCGAATATAAAAATTGTGAAGATTTAAAAATGTCATTTTCTAGTTTATGTTTTTAGAGTTTTTTAAAAATTACATTTTACTGACACTATTTACACAAAACACTTCTGATACAAACCATTCATAACTTCTTATGAAAGAAAATAGTCCTAAACACATAAACAATTACAGTGCAGTTAACATTTCAAGAACCACTGACTCTGTTGGGCAGTGCTTCCCCATCCCCCTCAGTAGCACACTGAACTTTTACATTTAACCAGAATAAGGCTGGTGTTCACCAAAGTCATGGATAGTTAGTAAAAGTTTATGGTCCTACAGTCTTAAAAATTTTTCATTTTGTAAAACTTCTAGAGAATAATTGAATCAATATAATAGGAAATTTGGCTTTTCTTTTACTGAATGTACATTAGCTAATACAAAGGTCATGACACTGATTCAAAGTGAAGTTACGGTATCAAGAAACTGTATGTTTCTTGATAGTAGCTAATCTTTTTTCACTGCTAAAAGATGTATTCTTGCTCAAATGCTATGTAAAGGAGACTCATGAATGAAGCTCATGCACCAAGGCCAGGCAATGCCTTTTAGCCATGACACTACCAACTTCTGGAAGATCAAAAGTAGGAACACCACATGTATCTGTGCTAGGTTATGTAAACATAGGCTCTATCACCAAACACATAAATGCTAAATATTTGGGGAACTACAGCAAATAAGAATTCCAGAAAATAACTGTACTGCTTGAGGAGTTTTCTTTTTTTGGAATATATTTTAAAACACACACACCCAAAGTTTTCCTTCACTGTCTTCCATAAGAAAGACTGCTCAAAGAAGAACAAAGTGGCCCAGGGAAAAATGAGAGTTAGAGAAAACTGACAAATCATTGATGTTCGTCCAATTTGGGTGAAAAATAAAATAGGGGAAGGAGACCCTTCTCCACGAATATCCTTGGAGGAAGTCAGAAGGAGCCCTAAGAAAGGAATGGGAAAGCCTGGAATAGGTGGCTCATTTACAAAACAATGAAAACAGTTCTGAGCTTCCCCTCCTGAGCCTTTGTTCAAGCTCTTTTCTCTGTTTGGAAGACTCACCCATTATTTCTAAAGATTCACATTCACCTCTCCTTAGGGACTGTTTCAACTGCCAGTCATGGGCAACGCCTCCTTCCTTCTTTGTCTCCTGTTCCCACTGCACCTCTGAGGTATCCCTTCTTTCTCTGTACGACCTTAACCGTTTATGTCTGGCTCTTAAAGGTGTTCTGCTGCCTAGCCCGTTCTGTCATTGTATGTGTGTATTTCTAAGTCCCACTCAGCGCAGGGATGTTTGGCATGTCCTCTTAATTTTACAGAACACCACAGAGTGCCTTGCACATGCTAGCTACCCGATAATATTTTCCAAATAAATGATGTAAGCATTAATTAATCTATTGACTTGATAGAAAACAATTTGTATTATTTCTAAATGTATCTACCTGAAATTTTACCATTAAAGACTTGTTACATGATGTGGTAATTGTAGTTCACGTGATTATACCCAGAAGGGAAATGTACCACATTACTAACCACTAACAGCTCTTTGTGGATGTTTTTGCTCATCAAACCAAGAACATTTCTATTCTATCCAACCTGAAATTAGATGATAGTATATTTTGTTTGGGACGAGAGTGAAGACTGAGATGCAATCCAAACCACAAGCAAATACGGAAAGGGGCGAGAAACGAATGCAAGCTCTGCCTGTGCTCCAAAAGCGAAAGCGACAACACCCACTCACAAACACACACAGTAGCCTTGATCACTGCTGATTTAACACAGCCTCACAGAACAAACGTAACTATAACATTATGCTTTAAGTAAAGTGACAAATGCTATTTGTATTGTGTAAATACCCTCAGGGTGGAACCTAATGAGTATATTCTAAAGCAACTCCACAACTGAGAAACAAGACAACATGAGCTCTTAGTTTTGTGTATGATGAAAATCAAGTGTTGCCACATGGCGAAGACTGAAATTCAGACACAGAGAAGGGTACAAGGCTCTTTTTCCTCAAATGTGTTTCCACAGAGTCACTTCATGCAAAACCAAAGGGAAAGCAAGGATGAAAGATACTGGGTGAAAGGCTATCCTCCGTCTTTGCATCTATTTTATCATCTTTTTTCTACATGAAGTCAGATGTTCAAGACAGATAATTATGAAAACTAAGAATCATAGCCGAGATAGAATTTTTTCAAATCTCCGCCATACTAAATTTTCGTTAAGTAACGTTTTCAAGTAAGGTATAATTCAGGGAATTTTAAAGTGATTCGGGAGTTAAACTGGATTTTGGTAGAAAAACAGTATTTCCTAGACTAATGAATATTTCCCAGAGAATTTATTATTGTTATACAGTGGTATATCAGTTCTTTTCACATGAAATAAATTACTTTTTTTTTTAATTTCAAAATTTTTAAATGCATTTAACTTAATTTTGTTGTATAGCTTTACATGTACCTAAAGCCAGAATAAGTTTCAACAACAGCATTTTTGTTTATTAATTATCAATTCTTTTATTCATCCAAAATGACCCTACATAAACTGATTTCATTCAAAAAGAATAAAATGCAGTCTCACCACCTAACTTGTCCTGTGGAATATTAAACTTTCCATGTTAGATAGTGTAATTTGATAAAGGAACGTGTTATTCTTTGGACAACTAATTGTATGAACGTTTTCCTGTAAACAGAATTACTAAAATGGGGCCAGATACAGTGGCTCATGTCTGTGATCCCAACACTTTGGGAGGCCGAGGTGGGCGGATCATGAGGTCAAGAGATGGAGACCATCCTGGCCAACATGATGAAACCCCAACTCTACTAAAAATGCAAAAATTAACTGGGCATGGTGGTGCGCTCCTGTAATCCCAGCTACTTGGGAGGCTGAGAAAGGAGAATCACCTGAACCCTGAGTGGGGGCGAAGGTTGCAGTGAGCCGAGATCATGCCACTGCACTCCAGCCTGGCGACAGAGGGAGACAACGTCTCAAAAAAGAAAAAAAGAAAAAAAGGGACACAACAGTGAGTGTCTTCTTGCAGAGCCACACAGAAGGGTCTATAGAGAGTCATTTAGGGTTTTCTTAGGAAAGGGGTGGCAGAAGGGCAGAAAAATCTTCCGTGCAGTGTTAAAAGCAGAAGAAAATGAGGAGAACCCCTCAAAGGTTGCCCTCCTCGGAGAGTTGAGAAGTCTACTTTGTAGCTGGAGGACAGTGTATTGCGGGAGAGCTGTGAGGCCAGCATGAGAGTGGGGCTCAAAGCAGAGAGGGGATCTTATTTGTCAGCCATGGGAGTGTGACTTTTATTTCACACTGGGGAGAGACATGAAAAGCACGGTTACAGAAAATTAAATGTATATTTTTAGAAAGAAGTCTTTCATGACACCATAACACATAGCATCATTACAGAAACAAAACAGGTTTAGTTTTTACGACACAAAATGCAGAAACATAAAATGTATCCTCTGGAGGCCACTGGACCTTCTCAAATGAGGTGTTTGTAATGATTGCAGAAAACATATCTAGTTCATATAATGTTACCATATCAGTGGAACTGTGAGTTTAAGATAAAAAAAATGGAAAAGATAAAACTATTATTCTCATTTCAAGATATCTAGTGGGGAAAAAAGAAATAACTATGCCTGCGCTGTGTATTTCTGTACCATAAAATAATGATTTTCTGAACAGATTAGAATATTACATAATAAAACTACTGACATGAATTCATGGTATCAGTGACATTCATGTACTGTATCAAAATGCAGCTCCACCATCTAGTTAGGCACTGCATTATGTATGTAAAAATATGGTTATAATAACCAAATAATAATTATAATTTTGTGGAGAAATTCTTAGCAAAATTTACAATTTAAGTTTTCTCCTTTGTTCAAACGTTGAATGGCTTGGAAAGATAACCCAGTAGTTGATTTTTACTTTGCTTATGTTTTATTCTTTCCTTCTATAGACTATTTACTCCTTCTTAAAACAATTTTATTAGACTTTGTCATGGACTCCATTTTGATTTCCTGAAGGGAAATACTACAATATTGTTCATAGGAGACTGGTTGCAAATATATACTATGATGGGTAGGCATAAAACCACATACTCTGATTGAGGCGTGAATGTAAAATTGTCATACAGATGAGAAAATCAAAAATTTTGGTAAAGATTACTGTGAATTCTTTGTCTAGTAGGAGGTCATTATTTTTTGACCATTTTTAAAAACTGAAAGTCAACAAAATTCCAACTCTTATCTACAGGTAGTTGAACCACTGGTGATTTTTACTTTATGCTTTCGTCTGTTTTCTGAGTTTTCCGAGTTTTCCATGAGCATCTATGATATTCACCGTAAAGGAAATACAGTTTTGTCTTTCGCAGGATATTATCTCTAGGTAAGTAAATGTGCAGACAGCCTGACATTTGCTAATGATCGATGATTTGTTCTTACCACCCTCCCTCTCCGCCTCCCATTCACAGGCATCCATGCAGATGTATCTTGGGCCAGTGGCCACAGCGTAATACCATCTGGCCTGTATTCCCCTCAAGCCTCTGCAGCTTCCTGGGCCATGGCTCCTGTTTCTCCGACTGGATTGCATTCTCATGTTATACTTCCCTTTCTTTCTCCCACTAAACTCTAGGCACCTTGAGTTTAGGAATGCTGTCTACTTCACCTTTATCTTCCAAACTCCTGTTTTGGTGTTAAACACGTAATTACTCGACAACTCACTACTGAAAGAATATCGAAATGAAGACTTCTACAAAAGTCTTCTATCCGGTACTGCAACAGTAAGGTGTTTTGTTTTGTTTTGTTTTGTTTTTGTTTTTTACCACTTTGTATAAAATTGCAGTATTATTTTTTCTGTTTGTCTTCTCTACTTTTGTTTTTCTGTTCTTTCCTGCCTTCCTTTAGAATGTTCAATGTTCTTAAGAATTTTTTTTAATTAACTTATTGGTGTTTTAACTATACTTTTCGCAGTGTTTTAGTGTTTGCTCTTGGAATTAAAGAAACACCCAAGATTTTTCAGTCTTCTTGTAAATATTACACCAATTTTATTTTTTTTAAAATGTATAAAGAATGCAATTTTAGAGGTGCATTTACCAAACCTCTTTTTTTCTGTGTTTCTTGTCTTTTCTTTTTGGTATGCTTATCATATATATTACAAACATGCAATTCAAACTCTAAAACATAATGTTGTTATTTTTACTTAAAAAGTCTCATGCACTTTAAAGAAACTCAGAGAAAATGTCTTCTTATATTAACCAAAATATTTACCACCTATAATGTTTTGAGACAGAGTCTCGCTGTGTCGCCCAGGCTGGAGTGCAGTGGTGGGATCTCGGCTCACTGCAAGCTCCGCCTCCCGGGTTCACACCATTCTCCCACCTCAGCCTCCCGAGTAGCTGGGACTACAGGCGCCCGCCACCACGGCCGGCTATTTTTTTGTATTTTTAGTAGAGACGGGGTTTCACCGTGTTAGCCAGGATGGTCTCGTTCTCCTGACCTCGTGATCCACCCACCTCGGCCTCCCAAAGTGCTGGGATTACAGGCGTGAGCCACCGTGCCCGGCCACCACCTATAACACTCTCTATTCGTCACTGAAGATCCAAGTTTTCACCACAGGTTGTTTCCATGAAGCCCGAGCAACCATCTCAGCATTTCCTCCACCACGAGCCTGTCACTGACACCCTCTCATAAGCTGTCATAGCTTCCTCTGATTTTCTGACTCACCCTCATTCTTGAAGGTTGTTTTCACGTGATATAAATGTCTAGGTTGACAGTTCCTTTTTGCTTTGTTTACTTTCTTTTTGCTTTTAGCACTTTAATGATGTTGTTTTCTATGGATGGCCTCCATGGTGTTTGATGTAAAATCAGCAATAATTTAAATTGTTGTTTCCTGTATGTAATGCGTCCATTTTCTGTGGCTGCTTTCAAGCTTTTTCTCTGTCTCTTTTGAAGCAGTTTGGCTGTGGTGTACATGGTTATGGTTTCTTTGCAGTTATCTTTCAGTTTACAGAGACTCTTGAGTCTTTTTTTTTCTTTTTTTTCCAAATTTGGAGAATGTCATCCATTAGTACATTAAAGATAGTTTCTCCCTTATTCTCCCTCTCTTTCTCCTTCCGGAGTTTCAGCTAAACGTCTGTTAGGCCTGATATTGTCCCAAAGAAGCCTGACGCCCTGCTTGTTATATTTTTTCAGTCTTATTTTCTCTATATTCTACTGATTAGATAATTTCCATTGGACTAACATCATCAAGCTCCCTAACTCTTATGTCATTTTGTATCTGTTAAGCCTTTCCAAGTAAACCTACTTTAAAAAAAATTGTAGTTTAGATATTTAATTATTCATTTGATTTTCATTTTATAACGCCTATTTTTTTCCTGATATTTCTAACTTTTTTTCACCAAGAGCATTGCTTCCTTTACTTATTTAAGCATAATTGTAATAACAGCTGCATTAAAATCCTTCTCCGCTAATTCCAACATCTGTGTCCTATCAAGCTTGGTCTCAGTTTTGGGGGCCTTTTAGTTTTTAATTCTTTATTTTAAACTAGCTGAAATATGTGGAGTGATTAGTTGTTGTTTCTGGAATTGTGAATTTGGTTTATTTTTGGAGATTTTAGACTCTGTTATGCTCCTCCAAAAAGTTGATGAATATATTTATTTCGTCTTTGGGGTTTTATTTTTTATTCCTTGGCAGGAAATTAAGTTAGTTGCATTCAAATGAAAACTTCCTGTTGTGGGGGGGTGGTGTGCACATCCACTCTCATGGAACTCCTCTGTCCTCAGCTACCCCATTTGGAATCTGCTCCACTTAGGCATAGCTCAAGAGTCAAAGTCTGGGCAGAACCTGCAGCCACAGTGTGGGGCTCTCCAGTCTAGAGCTCTCCTTTCTGGGATTCCTCCCTCATTTTCTGGTGGATGTGGTTTTGCTGGTTCAGAAAGAAAGTGGATGTTAGGATAGAGTTTTGGTTTTGCCACCAGCACTGACATGCTTGACCTGAAAATCAAAAAATGGATGATTCGCTATAGGCTGTTCAACTCCTTCGGAATCTGCCTGTTTCTTTTCAACTTTCTAGTGCTACTAGTTTCCAGGTGTTTTTCTGTTTTACGTATTTATTTTTATATTTCATCCACAGTTGCAAGTGAAGAAGGGTTGAATCCCATAGGAGTTTATTTGGCCATCCTGAATTGCACTTTTACAAAAAAATACCTTCCTTTGCCTTCAAAATGTATTTACTTCTACTTGACACAAACGTACAAATACTAGTTTTCAATAATAGCTACCTGCCTTTAGTTTACTGCATTCTATGTACCAAGCATTTTACACCATTATATTATTTCAATTCTTATTTCTCTGGGAGATAGACTTTATTATTTCGCACTTGTAGTGAAGGGAATTGTGACTATAATCCATGCAATTGCTGAAAGCTCTAAACAGGAATCACATAGTTTTAAGTATTGTGCATATTTTCATATATATAAGAAATATGAGGTTCTGTGGTTGTATGTGTTTGTGTTTTCTGTGTTTATGTTTTGAAAATTAAACATCCACATGATTAAGGAAGGCTTCCCCTTTATTTCTGTGGATCTCCTAGAATGATTTCAACTCTGTGAATTGGGAATACAGAAATGAACAAAGTGTTTACAACTTTTGCCTTACTCTCTGCAATTCCTTCACATGGAGCCTCACAGTCATGGAAATTGAGTATGAAGCTCATAGGTTTCAAGGCAGCCCAAAAGCCGTCTTTTCCACTACAACAATTTAGAAGCTTGAAAATAAACCCAACCTCTATGTACAGTGGAAAAAGTCAAATCAACACAACCTTGGATATTACCACTTAGAACATTCTTTCAAAAGTTTTTAAAATTTTGCTCGTGACATCAGATTTTGCCTTGAATTACACAATATACTCTATATGTAAGGACCAACCCAATTATCACCTATAAGTGTAGCGTAGATGATAGTCAATATTCATTCTGGTTTTCTCTTTATGATCCACTATGTCTTATTTCCTGTTACCATCATGATTCTAGAAATTGGCAGAACATGAAAACTTTTGTGATTTCACTTTTAGAAAAAATCGAGATGAAGCACTTCAAAGAACGCTCACAACAATAACTTGTTTTTAAAAATAAAAAGCAATAGGTGCATTAAATGATGAGAAGGTAAAAATAGGCCAAAATTAGAGTTGAAAGAAGAGAGTAAAGAAATTTAGCTGAAGTACTACAAAATGAAGAATTGTGAAAGCTGACAGTTCTTAGTCACATAAGAGCAAGGTCGTACTTAATGAAGCTAAAAAAAGTAAATTTAGAAGAAGCTGAGGGAAATTTTGGGAGCTATTTGTTATTCTGTGCGACTGTCTTACTTAGATTCTATTTTCTCCTCATTTTCTGGCTGTCCTCATCCAATATTCTTTCAGAGGACCTGGGATGTGTCTTAGTGCCAGATGGCATAAAAATAACCATGCTATTAATCCTACAGTATGAGGGATATATTCACTTTTCAGTATTGAGATAAATAAAGCAAAATGAATTGAATTTTAATGAATTTATTCTGGGGAATAATTCTCTGAAGTATAGTTATATTTAGATTATTTCTAAGTAACTCACCAACATGCAAATATTGACTTGTATAGACACCAGCTGTTTTCCATTTCAGCAATTTATACACTTGAAAATGAACCCAAATACAAAATTTTGCTAAATTATTTACCTCATTATTAATTGGTTGAAAATTGCTTTGTTAATAGTTGGGTTTAAAACAGTTTAAATTCAGTAATATAGTCAATAACTAGTCTACAGCTATACAAATATTTCAAGTAGTCTTAATCTATACAGACGGTTTTTGACGGTTGCTTCTTTTGATAAATCACTATAATAAAATCTTTGTCATTGGCTTTGGGAAGCTTTAATGACTTCAAAGAAAAATGCATTTATTGCTTCTGCTTTTAGACATTTAGTTTTGTTATAATATTGATATGGAATAGACAAATTTTGTAATATAATTTATTAAGTGAGCTTAAATGGGTTTTAAGTTGATCATGCTCTCCACGTAAACATATACATATAATGCATAACTTGTATGGTCCAAATTAGTTAATGTCACTATGCTAAATTGTACACAAATTATACAGCTTTTTGTAACCCCAGAGAAAGCAAAAACAAATTGTTTCATAAAGAAAGTCATGAAACGGTGTCAGCTAAACAATGAAAGAAAATAAAAACTATAGATTAACAGTATTTGGCATCTGAATGTAAAATGTAGTATTTAGTCCATAAATGATAGCAGTATTTTCAATGTCTATCTCATCAAGATAGAATATATTTAAGTTTTTTGTACATGATTATTTACTTTCAGAGAAGCATTTGTCCATAAACCTGTTTATAGTCAATTATGAAAATCTAAAGTTTGATACTTTACAAAACATGATATTTGAGAACATGAGCTACCATAAATATTCCCAGTGGAAGTTAAAGGATCCGACATAAATTATTCTACCACAAATCATTTCAAACTACTGTCCTACATTTGGGCAGAACTCACTTTTAATGTGAAATATCCATCCTTTTATAATTGACAATGGTACGTTAAAATTTTGTATAAAGATGACATTGAGATTCCAGACCATTTAATTTCATTGATTTAGGAAAAAGAAACAAACAAAAAAAAAACATTGCTTGCAAAGTAGTTCTCTTTAGTTATGACTGTGGTACATAATCATTTCCATGATGCCTTTTTCTTGGTAGAATTTTCTGAGTTTTTTTTCTCTCCTCCAGAATGCACACTCCTCTTAAACTTCCACGTGGCAGAAGTAGTTTCTCTGGATAAGGCACCACACTTTGAATTTATTTATATTTTTGTGTGACAGTTTGAGTCTGCCTTCCCTAATGGGATATGAACTCTACAAATGGGGACATGCCTGTCTTTACTCACTGTAATAACCCCAGTATGAATGATGAGTAAATAATGCTCATACAGTGAATAATATTTCTTCAGTATTATTAGACAAAGAACAAAGTTGAATACAGTAAATATCAAAATGATACGAAAAACTAAGCAGGATTAAATTTTGCTAAGCTGAAAATCCTTCCTTGTAGCACATTTAAAATGTAAATAATATTTCATTCTAGTATGTGCAGCTTAAGGACTTAGGATAATCTAAAAAACAAAGTATTATAAAATAAAGATGAATTGTTGATATATGTTTATGTAAATAAAAACATAAATACCTTCACCTAAGAGAATATAGAGCTCTCTAAGATGAAGTGCTGAATTTTTTTTTGATGCTAAAGAACAGAAAAAACTCAAATGTTATTTTTAATATCAAAATAAATTTTATATCTGCTAATACTAATGTAAATGTTTTCTGTCCAAATCTCTTGTTACAGGTAAAATAAAGTGGCAAATGAATTTCGTGGGAATTGATAACTAAAAATGTCAGATATCCCCTTAGAGAATATATGTAACTGGTAAAATATTAAACGATGATTAATTTATTCCTTGTTCTGCATAGCGGAGTTAATCTATTATTGTAGTATAACTCACACTGTGTTGGGGAAATTGTCTTGATTTGTGAGACGTTTTGGAGCACTGGATTCATTTTATAGATATAAAATTGTCAATGTAGAAACGGTTTGCATGTTCTCAGGTTGTGTGTCCCTTTCAGAATTTTTCCACCCTAGCCAGGTTTCTCAAGAGGTTGTGATGACAGAGCAGTCCTTCATGGTTGTCAGAGTGAAAAAGGAAGCAGGCTATTGTCCTCAGGGAGCCAGTTCATATCTGTTCTAGCCCAGAAATTATAATTGGAATCTTTCCCAATCCACTGGTACTTTATATATACTAAGAAAATAAATCAGTACTCTTTCCCTCTAAGTTTTAAAACATAGAATTGTTTCTTTCTCTGGGAGGGTGGAGGGGGGATATTTTAATTCCTATAAATATTATGGAAAGATAAGTGATATGGTTTGGCTGTGTCCCCACCCAAATCTCATCTTGAATTGCAGTTCCCATAATCCCCACGTGTCATGGGAGGGACCCTGTAGGAGGTAACTGAATCATGCGTGTGGTTGCTCCATGGTGTTCTCACGACAGTGAGTGAGTTCTCACAAGATCTAATGGTTTTAGAAGGGGCTTTTCCCCCGTTTCTTGGCACTTCTCTCTCCTGCCACTATGTGAAGAAGAATATGTTTGCTTCTCCCTCTGCCATGATTTTAAGTTTCCTGAGGCCTCCCAGCCTTGCAGAACTGTGTGTCAATCAAACCTCTTTCCTTTAAAAGTTACCCTGTCTGAGGTAGTTCTTTATAGCAGCGTAAGAATGGACTAATACAATAAGCATAGACTTTCTCTGGTTTATGGAATATTTTAACTGTAATAGTGACAGCAGGTGATGTTTTTGAATTCATTACTAGAAATGTAAGTATATATGAACAAATAGAGCCAAAAACGAATACCTAAAACACAAATAGCTAAAAGAAAATGAAATAATATATTAAGGATTCATGTCCTAAACTTAAAAACATTTGATAGTTGCCTGTTACCTTTATTATAAGGATTATTCTCTAACAAGGCCTTATGCATCGTGCTCCAAACAAAACATTTAGCCATATCTTGTCTTTCACTGCTACTCATCTCTGGCTCTCCAAGCCCTGACCCACCCTGGGGAATGACCTCACATTTCAGGCTCTGAACAACAACCATATCAGAGTATACACCATCACGCAAGGCCAGCCATGCCTTTGCTTTAACTGCTAACTTAAGATAGGCTACTCTTTTCTCATTTTTTCCATTATCTTTCCAGTCTGAAGAACTACTGAAATTTTGAACTATAACATGGATATCAGTAAAAAAATCTTACACAAGGATAACACTTTCCTCTGAATTATATCATCAGAATGAAGAATAAATTCCAGCTAATAGTAAGAAAAATTGCAACTCTAGGTAATTCTGTACTATGTGGTATCTAACCCTTATTCTCAATATAATTGGTCATAAATGATATATATTTTAAGCCCCTACTTCATTTTAGTGATGAGTATGATGAAGTCAAGAAAGTTAAATGACGCATCCAACTGCACCCAATGGGTAAAAACTGGTGTAGAGAGAAGTCTCTAAATCCAGATGAGAGCTCTGTGAATTTCAGCTACTCCATTTCTCTACTGACACCTCCCACTGTAAAAGCCCATTTGTCACCTATATATATATATATGTGTATATATATATATATATATATATATGGTAGACATATAGATTATATATAATTTATATTTTTTATCAGAGGTATCTTTTAATGGTTCCTCAGTCTTTTATTATAATAAGCTCTTAATAATTTTTATATGCAATAATTAATTTGAGTATCCTATACATATCATTACTCTTAAATGTCTAGTTGAGGCTTCACCTCAGTTTACTTGCATTGTTTAACTTTTTTACCATCACACTGAAGTCACTCTGGTCAAAACAACACATTCCCTGTAAACCACTGCTATGCCTATCAAATTCCTCCTGCTGTCACTTGAACTGCTGGTCATTCAAGGTCAGTAGATCCACCCGGGTGACAAAAGGGAGGTATATTTGATCTTTTTCATGTATTTGTTTCCTAAGACAGAGTTTAATTCTTGTTTCTTACCATTCTCAAATTTGCTCTTTATTCTCTTGTCCCAATGCTATTGCCCTATGATAAGCATTTTTCAGCTCATTCCAAAAGTTGTTCTCACTCTGTTCCATGGGAATTTTCAGATACATAAACCAAATTGAGCCTAAATATGCCTCCTTCCTTTCTCTGACTTGTAATTGATGCCCAATATAGCAATGTCCTTCCCGAAGACCTTGCCATCATCACAAAATCCTTTACATACCCATACTCGCCCTGCATGTGTGTCCCCAGGCTCTCCGATTCCTCTTTCATCTCTCAGTTGGAAAAAAATAGCGCTATTTCAAGAAATGCAATCCACCAGTAGGGAGTAGGAAAAAATATGTTTGTAAGAAATGCCTACATGCCAAAGAGAGAAATCTTCAAATAATTTACATGGAAAGTGCTATAATGAACTTTAAAATCAGCTTACAAATTTCCAATGGCAATTCAGTTTGCTATTTTCAACTCTTTGCTGCATTTCTACATCATTTTTTTCTTTTAATTTTCTTACACATATAAACGTATTACGTAATTGCACTATGCATTGATAATGCAGACCTAACTGTGCCATAATGATGAGTTTGATATCCAACTTTTTTTTTTTTTTTTTTTGAGAGGGAGTCTTGCTCTGTGTCGCAGGCTGGAGTGCAGTGGCGTGATCTCGACTCACTGCAAGCTCCACCTCCCGGGTTCACGCCATTCTCCTGCCTCAGCCTCTTGAATAGCTGGGACTACAGGTGCCACCATGTTAGCCAGGATGGTCTCGATCTCCTGACCTTGTGATCTGCCCACCTCGGCCTCCCAAAGTGCTGGGATTACAGGGGTGAGCCACTGCGCCCGGCTGATATCCAACTTTTTAAACATAAAATCTTCGTTATGAAATATAATTTTTTTTTTTTTTAGTTTTTCTGTATTTCACATGTATTTCTAACTATCCTTTTGAGAAAAAACTTGCTGTATTCTTGCTAATAAATGTTTAAAATTATTTGTTCTCCATAGATTGCTTTAAGGCAACCCTTGTATTTAAATTTCAGGCCTGGCACACTGGCTTACACCTGTAATCCTAGCACTTTGGGAGGCCAAGGCAGGTAGATTACTTGAGGTCAGGAGTTCAAGATTATGTTGGCCAACGTAGTGAAAACCTGTCTCTACTAAAATTAATAATAATAATAATAAATATATATATATATATATATATATATATATATATATATATATATATGTATGTTGAAAAGCTATCTTCTCTTCACTTTTTCCCACAATGTTGCATTAACAGTATCATATGTCACCCATCTGATTTGTTGTGTCCAGGTATGGACCCGACCACAAGAGTGGTCCCGAATGGAACTTATACAGCTCATTACCAGGGTCGGTTCAAATAGGGTGGTGTTTGAGACAATTTTTATTCAACTACTGGATCATATAAAAGAGAAAAAGACACAGTATAAATTGAATATAAGCTAATGTTTTAGTCTATAGAGACATGCCCACTGTTTGGTGGGAAACAACTGAATGAGTAGATATAGCCCATGGAGAATAAAGTATAGGAGTTTATCAAGTACTGTACCATGAGCAGATAAACAAATTGTGACTAGGCAATGTCTGCATCCCTTGGAACGAAATATACTTTCCATAATTTATGTAATCTGTAATCAGGCATTCTATTCAGTTTTGTCATGTCTATTTTAACTCTGGCTAAAAACAGGATATAGAACACCATCAGGCAGCTCCATTCTTCTGAGTTCTATCATCATAAAGCATGCAAATTATTATTGTGCCTATTGAAACAATGAAGACAGCTGCACATCTGATGCCAAAACACTGAAGATATTTATTGATGTACTTCACTTTAAAGTAAAAACACTTTATTAGGGAAAGCATTAAAGATTTCTTCATGGAGAATTAGCTAAATTGATACACAGACACATTGTTTCAGCGTTCTTGTGGGTTCACATTAATTTATTCCTGTAGTAAACTTGCTTTCTTTCCATAGTATGAATAGCCCAATGGATATTTTTGTAGTGATGAAAAATAGTTTATGCAATTAATAACCCATGTTCTCTTTTCATCAGGTTAGTAGCAGGGAGTGACATCACGAGAGAAAACAGTAGCCAGGGATAATGGAATGTTTCTAATGACCCTTTGAATACCATCTTCATAGGCTGGGGCAGAAGGGCCATATTCTTGCCTTTCCACCCCTTTTCTCAGTGTCTTCTCATGGAGTTGTAAAAATAATATAAAAAATAATTTAAAGATTAAGAAAATTATGTTCGAATATTGGTGTTTTTTTTTTTTTCTAGATATCAAAAGGGTGGTGAGTGGCCCAGCTAGGAATCTACGACTCATCTGACAACAGTCTCTGTCTCCATGTTTGTGTTCCTCACTCGTTCCATGTATACACCCCCATAGGTACACCTGCTCAGTTTGCAATTTACAAGCCATGCATTTCTATGAATCTTTACTTGGGTTCATTCTAGCTCCCCAGTAGTAATAGTTGTCTCCTCCTTAAAACCCATCATCACTGCCTGCTTTTAAACAATGACTCCTACTTGACAAGTGCACACCACGGTTACAGTGTACCTAAGAGTAAGGCACGATCTTACCCGTGAGTACTTCACAAGTGAAAGGTGAAGCAAAATCTACACAAACAGGTATCAGAATTCTACATATTGAATTTCCAAAATGTACTGGTGAGTAATCATGCCATTACATACATTATCCATGTGTTACATATGATCAATAAGGTTTTATTAAGCTCTCTGGGTTCCAAATTTCTTACTTGCAAAAGAAGATACTGATCAAGACTGTCTTGTCCAACACATAGGTTTCTCCAGAAGATAAAACTGTATTGCATATTTATGTATGATGTCATAGTTTTTATATTCCTTTCTGGAGTTTAGAAGCTAAATTTTATCAGTTTTATTAGCACGACAAGACAAAAGTAACAGAATCACTGAAAATGGGTATTTCTTCAGTGAAGACTATTCTTTCATTTCTGCCATAGGAGAGAAAAATAATGTTTCATTTTAATATAAGGTGAATAAGACTGGGCTAAATTACCACACCCCTCTCTAAGTATTTGATCAGATAGCTAGATAAAAATTCAATAAAGGTATTGCTATGGATTTCATGTTTGTTTACTTCCAAAACTCTTATTTAGACTTAGACCCAAGGTGATAGTATTAAGAGGCAGGGCCTTTGTGAGGTGATTAGGCTCTGGGGACTCTACCCTCCTGAATCAAATTAATGCCCTTATACAAGAGGCTTCACACAGTATTCATCCCCTTTTCGCCTTTGCCTCCCTTGTGCCATGGAGGGACACAAAGTTCATCCCCTTGGGTAATTCAGTAAGAATGCAACACTTTGGAAGCAGAGAGATTGGACTGCTTCCAGACACCAAATCTGCTGAACTCTTGATCTTAGACTTCCCAGCCTCCAGCATTGTGATAAATAAACTTCTGTTATTTATAAATTATCCAGTCTGTGGCGTTTTGTTATGCAGCAGGAACAGTCTCAGACAAGCATTGTGGTAGCTCATTTTGAAATACGCCCAGCGATTCTCGTCTCCTAGCAGGTAAGCTCTATGGTCCCCTCCCACGTTGAATAGGTTTGATAGGGTTAAACAACAGGGTATTGTGTGAATTACAAACTGTGATTTCTGAATATAGATGATTATAAAAGGCTTTGCAGCTTCCTCCTTTTTGCCTTGGATCACACCTTCTGGGGACTCCAGCCACGGTGTCATGGGAACACTAAATTAGCCCTACAGGGAGGCTCACATGACAAGGAACTGGGGTCCCCCTACCAACCACCGGAAAGGAACCGAAGCTGTGCTCATGTTGACCTAGTTGACCCAGAACACTATACCCAACCACTGCAGAATACATAAATTTTTTGAAGGACAAATGGAGATATGGACTAAAATAGATACTATGCTACACAATGCAACAATTCTCAATGAAGTCCAAAACATTTAAATTCTAAAAAGTATTTTCTCTGACCAAATTAGGAAAAGGTAACAAGAGTATTTTTTAAAGACCCCAAATATCTGGAAACCAAGCAAAACACTTGAATACACAATGGATCAAATAAATTGTTACAAATAAAGTTAAAAAAAGTTGAAACCAAATAATTAGAAAAATAAGACATATCAAAATGTGTTGGATTTAGTTACAGTAGTGCTCATGGGGGAGTGTGTAGCTTAAATACTTATATTACACTCGAAAAACCATATAAACTCAATTATTTAAGATTCTGCCTCAGGAAGTTAATAGGAAAAAAATATATAAAATTTTAAAAGGCAAATAGAGAAATTAGGAAAGCCAAAGGCATTTTAGGGGAAAGATTAATTGATGAAGATTACTGAGACTTATCAAGAAAAAGAAGAGATATGTATTAACTACATTAGGAATAAAAGATGCAAAATCTCTATAGATCCTAAGGACATTAAAGAGCGTACAAGATATACTGTGAATAAATTTTTCCCCAAAATTATGACCACACAGGTAAAATGGACAAAGTCCTAGAAAATTACAACCTATTAAAACTAACACAAGGTAGAATATCTGAGCAGACGTATAAGAAAAATTTAATATTTGATATTACAAACTTTTTTAAAGTTAAAATGACAGGCCCAGATGGTTTCACTGGTGAGTTCTGCCGAGCATTTAAAAACAACTACAACAAAACCCAGTATTTTAAGAAATCTTTTGAAAATAGAGGAAGGGCAAAGATTGCCTAAGTAGTTCTAGGAGATTAACGTAATTTTGATAACAAAGTCTGTCAAAGACCTAAAAAATAAAACTAAAAGGAAACACACAAAAACAAACAAAATTACAGACCCCGCTTCATTATGAGCCTAGAAGAAAAAAACCTTTCTTTTTTCGTTTTATTTTATTTTATTATTATTACACTTTAACTTTTAGGGTACATGTGCACAATGTGCAGGTTAGTTACATATGCATACATGTGCCATGCTGGTGTGCTGCACCCATTAACTCGTCATTTAGCATTAGGTATATCTCCTGATGCTATCCCTCCCCCCTCCCCCCACCCCACAACAGTCCCCACAATGTGATGTTCCCTTTCCTGTGTCCATGCATTCTCATTATTCAATTTCCACCTATGAGTGGGAACATGCGGTGTTTGGTTTTTTGTCCTTGTGATACTTTACTGACAATGATTATTTCCAATTTCATCCATGTCCTTACAAAGGACATGAACTCACCATTTTTTATGGCTGAATAGGACTCCATGGTGTATATGTGCCACATTTTCTTAATCCAGTCTATCATTGTTGGACATTTGGGTTTGTTCCAAGTCTTTGCTATTGTGAATAGTGCCACAATAAACATACATGTGCATGTTTCTTTATAGCAGCATGATTTATAGTCCTTTTAGTATATACCCAGTAACGGGATGGCTGGGTCAAATGGTATTTCTGGTTCTAGATCCCTGAGGAATTGCCACACTGACTTCCACAATGGTTGAACTAGTTTACAGGCCCACCAACAGTGTAAAAGTGTTCTTATTTCTCCACAACCTCTCCAGCACCTGTCGTTTCCTGACTTTTTAATGATCGCCATTCTAACTGGTGTGAGATGGTATCTCATTGAGGTTTTGATTTGCATTTCTCTGATGGCCAGTGATGGTGAGCATTTTTTCATGTGTTTTTTGGCTGCATAAATGTCTTCCGCATCACGCCACCTGACTTCAAACTATACTACAAGGCTACAGTAACCAAAACAGCATGGTACTGGTACCAAAACAGAGATATAGATCAATGGAACAGAACACAGCCTGCAGAAATAATGCCGCATATTTACAACTGTCTGATCTTTGACAAACCTGACAAAAAGAAGAAATGGGGAAAGGATTCCCTATTTAATTAATGGTGCTGGGAAAACTGGCTAGCCATATGTAGAAAGCTGAAACTGGATCCCTTCCTTACACCTTATACAAAAATCAATTCAAGATGGATTAAAGACTTAAACGTTAGACCTAAAGCCATAAAAACCCTAGAAGAAAACCTAGGCATTACCATTCAGGACATAGGCATGGGCAAGGACTTCATGTCTATAACACCAAAAGCAATGGCAACAAAAGCCAAAATTGACAAATGGGATCTAATTAAACTAAAGAGCTTCTGCACAGCAAAAGAAACTACCACCAGAGTGAACAGGCGACTTACAAAATGAGAGAAAACTTTCGCAACCTACTCACATCTG
This sequence comes from Homo sapiens, assembly GCF_000001405.40. Taxonomy (NCBI): domain Eukaryota; kingdom Metazoa; phylum Chordata; class Mammalia; order Primates; family Hominidae; genus Homo; species Homo sapiens. The sequence goes on from NC_000008.11 coordinate 4,083,948, forward strand.
ACAAAGGGCTAATATCCAGAATCTACAATGAACTCAAACAAATTTACAAGAAAAAAACAAACAACCCCATCAAGAAGTGGGCAAAAAAACCCTTTTAAAATTAGTAGATCAAATGCATCAATACATGAAAATGGCTAGTAATATTTGTCTTCGGAAAGGTAAAACCACAATATGTCTGCTCTTATGACTAAATTATTTTTATAAAAGCAGAATAATTAAAAGAGAAAGAATTTTAAAATGTATTTTTTCCTGATTTTTCAGTTAGTTTTACTCTGTAGAGTAGTAATCCCTTACTACAAAATAAATAAAAGTGAAAAGACAAAAATTGGAAAAATCTTTCAACTTTTATGAAAAAAGTGACAAAAAATATTGGTTTGTTAAAAAAGAAAAAAAAAAACAAACTACAACCATAAATGCAATCTAGAATTAGAAACAATATGCGATTTAAATTTTTTAAATTCCTAATTTTAACCTCGTTTTCATTTCCACCCTTTACATGATTTTGTTGTAATTGCTAAATCATTTAAAACATCTTTCATTAAGCCTCTAACATTTTAATCCTGTTTTTATTTTTCCTTACTTCCTCAAGGAAAAGGACAATTGGTAGGATGTTAGGAACTCGATTCCTTAATCAACCTTGTTGGGAGAGAGAAAATGAAAGCGAGCCTTCCAGAGTTTGCCAAGCCCTCTTTAGTGATGGCACAACATTAGCAAGACCAGTAGGGAAAGCACTAGCAATAGAGGCATCAATTAGCAATAACAGAAAAAGCAGCCCCTCTGCTCTCTTGCCCACCCCCACCCCCCTACCCAAAGCATGTGGCTTTTATGTAGCATTTCCATTCAAGTCCTGCTGAGCAAAAATTCCAGTGCCTCAAGACAGCTCTGTTCCATCTTGAAGAAGAATGACAAAAGCATGGTCTAATGCAAATACATACATTCAGTTTAAAAAAGAAAAAACAAAAACAAAAACAAAACTACAAAAATTGGTAATTTGGGAAAGCACCTGCAGAAAGAAGGAGATGGCCATATTACCACAGCAGGCGCGTGACAGGGAATTTAGATTTTTCCTTATGCAAACTATCCACAAATTCTAAAGTTCATAAGCAATATGTTGCCAAAGGAAGTGAATGTGTTTATAAATCAGGGAATATTGGTCCAACCAGTTGGACAACCCTGAGGCTGAGATGTCACCGGCCTTGAAGGCGTCACCATTACAGACTCTGCTGAGGATGGCAGCACAGTGCCTGCAACTTCAGCCCAGCTAGACATGAATCATCTGATTGATTTAGGGACCCTGACAGAGCTTCTTCCCCAAAAATCTGTGCATAGAATAAGAACATCCTTATCTAGTTAGGAAGTTTAATGAAGCTTCTTGGAGTAAGACAAAATGAATGGCATCTCACAACTCAAAGAAAAGGAAAAAGAAGCTATATTGGAGAAGCTCCAAAAAACTGATATTTTACATTGTGGTGATTTTGATTATTTAGAAAATGAGTTTTAATTGCTCAGATCATGTTTGCTGACAGTTTAAAACCCCTTGGATACTCCAATTCTTTCCTAATATAAATTTTATCCTATCCGTTCTTTGTAACCCTAATAAGCTGGACAAGCCTAGGAAGAAGAATATGAAAGAAACTATCGACGCTTGCAACAACTTGTGGGAACCTCACGGGAACTGTGCTAAGTGAAAAAAACCAGCCCTAGGTTTTTGCATACTGTGTGATTCCAGGATAATGCTCTAATATGATCCCAAATTGTTAATAAAACATTCTGGAAATGACCTAATAGTAAAAATGGAGGGAAGATGTGTGGCTTCCAGAAGTTAAAGGAAGTAAATATGTTTATCATAAAGACACCATGAAGCTTCCTGATAGCCAGATAAAAGTTCTGTGTCCCCAGAGTTTCCCTGTCAGTATCCGGGCTGTATTATTATTGTACTCTAGTTTTGTGAGATGTTACCATTGCGTAAGGATGGAAGGGGGCTCTGTATTATTTCTTACAAGTGCAAGTCAATCTACAATTACCTTGAAATAAAAACTGTAATTAAAAGAAGGAGCAAGGACTAACAAAGGTGTGGTCCTGTTTTCAACAAAAAATAGATGCAATCAAGTATCAACAAACGTATTTTTTCCATATTTAATCTCATTTTTCCTACTAGTTATTCTATGAGGTAGATGTTATTGCTACATTTAAGTTGCAATTTTTTTCAAAAAGTGCATATAAGTAATTTACTCAATAATAAAACCTTACAGCTACAAAGTATCACATCACTCTTCTGGTACATCTTCATGAACAAAGACAAATAAGGAAGACCTCCAAGAGGGAGGGACTTACTCGAGGCCACAAAAACAGTCATCAGACAGAAGTTCCAAAGCCTTTTTCATTAAGCACTAATTCTTTAATACTGAAACTTGAAATTTGAAAGCAAAACAAAATTCAGTACAGGCAGACAGACTTGTAAATCATTTTGAAAATCATATTTTCTTAAAATACTACTATTACTACACTCTAATTCATTAATTCGTTCTGACTGTACATTCATGGAATTCTAACTCATTACAAAAGTGACTGGTCAACTCCCAATTTGTCAAGCTCTTAAAATAGGGCCCACAGAGTTACATCCAATCTCCTCTACTGATGCAGCTTAACCTTGAATAAAGTACAATGCAGACGCGAGACTTTTCTTAATGCACCAAGCGATTTCATTCTTTCTCATTCATTCATCAAGTATTTAAGCAACCTGAACTTCTTCAGGTACCCAGGTAGATAGATGACATTGACAAGTATTATTGAGTTTCTGGTCAATTAATTCTTACATCTTTTTCAACTGAGTGAATGAACTTGTGAAACAAATTTCTTAGTCTGAGATGAAAACTTTGCATGCATCCTTGTCAAATTTCATCACGTTTCTGGTAGCATAAGAGAGTAAACTGCAAGTAAATGTTGGCAACAATCAGGCAAGGGTTGAAGCTTGTTAAACTCACTAACCAGCTGTGTGGTTTGGGTAAATTACCAGATTGCTCTGAGCTTCTGTTTCCTCATTTACAAAATGGGGATAACGCTATGTACATCATGGAATTAAGTTCCTCCCCAGTGACTGCCTTGGGCTAGCCCAAGAGAGATGCGTCATCCAAGCTTAGCCTTTCTTCCTGGAGCAACTGGCATTCAATCTCTGGGTGATGGGAGGTTGCGGAAATGGAACAAAGACCCACTCTTCTCACCTCCTTTCAGGGCATCTCAGCACAACTTAGCAGCCACCCTAGCTCTGAGCTCCCAAGGAACGGCTAAGTCCACCATGGCCATGGTTTCACAGTTCAACTTCTCTTGCTCACTCTCCTTCCTTCTCCTTCCTGCAGGTGATTTTCCAGGGACCATTCACACTCCCCAGGGAACCACTTGCAAGTCTGAATTTGCTTCTCAAAGAACATGACCTAACACACATAGCTGTTCTTGCATTTTGAGCAGATGCTCTTAATTCTCTCAATGTTAAATTAAGTAGAAACCACCCAACTTCTGTCCCTTTTCTTTCCAAACCACCTGTAATGAAACCTATTATTTTTATCCTCTCTGGTGTCAAAAAGCAAGGCGAGGCTTTCCCTGGCTATAATTTCTGTCCTTATACACTTGATTTCATTATCTGTCTAACTTTCTGTCTCTCTCTCATTCCCAAATCTTTCTTCTTCGATACTCTCACATTCTTACTCTTTCTCATTTTGTGTTTGCTCATTCTTCCTCTCGTGTCTCTGCCTGGCATCCTGCCTCCCACACTCTCAACCGCACCCTTTCTTCTGTCTCTCCCGTTCTCTTAATCTTCTTTCTATATTTTCTCTTTTATATTGTCTCACATTTATTTTTATTTTAGCATTATTTTCCCTTTGTCACCTAGCATAATAATGCCTACCTTACGTGACCTAGGTGAATTTCTACCCTGCTTAACTCTGCTCATCTTTAGAAAAAAGGATGCCTGAGGTCAAAATTTCCCCTTGTGACCAAACAGGCTAAGAACGGTGGTATCCAAGAGAAAAGCTCACTTGACCTCTGAAGAACGTCTAACTTTATTAGAATATCATTTCTGTGCTAAATGACACTCCCCCAGCACCATGACCTTTGACAATCACAGTAACAATGACTAGAGGAAACCACAAAAGGAGAAAGAGGAAGGATAGCTGCAGTGGGGCTGTGAGGAGGACACTGCCCATTCTCAGTAAAGACATGAATATTCTTCCCGTTGTTTTTAATGCCCAATCCCTTCATTAAAGATGACTGATCTCTGCCTTCCTGGCTCTCAGAAGCTGAGAAGTAGATTTGCGAGTCGTGTTCCCACTTCTCAATTGCATGGCCATTGAATACAGCCTGCAAAGCTAGAGTTCACTTTTGATTTACCATACTGGCTTTGCAGCACAGAAGACGGAAACGTCTTACTTTTGCGGGAAAGAGCTTTGTCGGTAACACCTTTTCTCAGGTTTCCTCTCCAAACTCACTGAATTTCTCAGCCTCTGTCTCTCTCTATCCATTCCCCAACATCTCTCTTCACTGGTTATCCATCTTCTTCTTTGTTTTCAACCCATGTCACTGGTTAGGATGCAAAACTAAATCTCTCAAACCTTAAAAAGAAATATCATTTCCTGAGACTATACCTCCCACATGTATTCTCTCTCTCTCCCCTTCCCACCCAACCAGGTTGAGAGTAAAGCCCAAAGTCATTGTCTTCATGTTTTCACCTTCAGCTCATTCCTCAGTTCATTGCAATCAGCTCCCCGACCCCAAAGCTCTGCAGGGACTTCTCTAAGGTGAGATCCCACCACCATTTATTCCAACAGCCTCAGCTCCCACCCTCCCAGACCAAACACATTGATCCCTCAGCATGTGGACTCATCCCTCCCTCTGGAATCACTAGTCTCCTGGTTTCCATGACACCGCTGTGTTCCACCCGCAATCTTCCCCCTCTACTCATTTTTATATTCAGCGAAAAAGCACTCCCCTGCCAAGGTCTTTCCTGAATTCCACGAAGGGTCACACACCCCTGTTCTGTGCTCCCTTGGTGCATACAGATCCCCTTGCTGAGGGTCTCAAAACTTATTCTTGTAGAGAATGAAGATATTCTGGTCTTGCCGCCAGAGCTTCTGACAAATAGTACCATGTAGGATTCAGGAAACTTAACACAATCCTCTCAGGGATTCCAGTGCTTAACAAAACATTGCTTGGCAAGACATTCCCCACTCTTTATGGTGACAATCTGTTTGGCTGCCTGCCTTTTGTATTACCTATAAGCTCCATAAGGACATGGGTCATGTCCATCTGGTTCAGCACATTTTCTCCAGGAATTAGTGGGGTGCCTGCCAACTTGTAGATGTTTGAAAGAAGAAAGAAGGAAAGAAGAGAGCTCGGTATGGGGGAAAGCACAGGCTTTCACTGAGAAGACATTTTCAGAGGTTCTCTGAGAAGAAAATTAGTAAATGGTACATGGTTAGCATTCTGTGTCATTATTTTTCACTCATTTTTGTGTCCTTCATAGTTTTCAAAAAAGGTAATGAACCATATAAAAAAGTGACACATTCCATATATCCAAGTCTTATATAGCATTCTGATTTAACACAATTTGGATTCTGACTTGCATTACTTAGTTATTATACCTCTTCTCTCAAAGGTTAAATGGGGATAATAAAATTATGTGCACTATTCTAAGGAATAAGTGAAGAAATATGTGTTAATGGGCTTAGTAAAGTGCTTAACATATAGAATGTGCCCAACACAGAAAGCTAGCTCAAGATTATTTTAATTATTATTGACACAACATCATTCATTAGTTTGGGGGTATTTTTGTTATGGGCAATAATGCCACTCAGTCTACCGAGTGTGTTTGGTCTTGGAGGGTGAGAGCTGAGGCTTCTGGAATGAATGGTGGTGGGATCTCACCACAGAGAAGTACCTGCAGAGCTGTGGGGTCAGGGACCTGATTGGAATGAACCGAGGAAAGAATATTACATGTATTATTGTTGAATACGTTGCTGACTTTCAGATAGAATGCCGCTATAATGGAAACCTACTTTCTCTACTAGCCTGTTTTGTAAAGGAATTATATTTGATATTGATTTATCATAGGACATGTAAATTTTCGAATGAGCAAAACTTAACTTACACTTAAATACACCTTTTGCTATGTTTAACTCTGGAAGCTCATCATTAATAGAATACAGTCTTAATTGGCTTGATACTGTTTTGAGTGTAACCTCCACTTTTGACTACAGTACATGATTGTCTTAAAAAGTATTTTTGGCTTGTTTTTGAGAAGTTATCACGTAAGCCCTGTTGTCAAAGAGCTTAGATTCTAATTAAGGAAAGTTAAAGCCACTAGGTAATATCGTTTATAAAGAAACATTAAACATGAGTCATTATCTATCATGCCTTAAAAATAAATTACAAAGTGTCAGATTTTCCACTCTTACTCCTTTTTAATTAACACCCTAGTCTTGATTGGACGTGTTTAATTTTTTTAAGAAAATACATGGGAAGGTTTTAAAATAAAAAACAAACAGCTAGAAATAACTCCTACTGCTTCATGGAAAGCTTTGTACACCTCTTCATGTCTTGGATTATCTTGCTTTTACAACAGAAACTAAAATATTTAGGTGTGCTCACCTGACCTTCAAGTGTGATACACGAATTCTCAGAATTGTAAAAGAACGTCCCTGAACTTAAGTAATTTAAGTGAAAGAAAGCACATCAATTTCCTAATTTTATCTCTAGTAGGTTCTAGTGGAGTTTTAAATCAATTTTACTTAAACATTAAACCAACACATATAAAAATTGAAGTAGTGGGTTATAATTAATAATTCACTGGTGCGTGGTTAAAGAACATATATTCTTTAAGTCGAATGAAAAAATAGAAATATTTGGCGAAGGGATGCCATAACTATTTTACTAATGGATGCTGTCTACATTATTAGTAACATAAGGGGCAGTCTTTTTTTTTTTTTCTTTTCTTTTTTGAGATGGGGTCTTGGTCTGTCACCCAGGCTGGAGTGCAGCGGTGCAATCCTGGCTCACTGCAACCTCCACCTCCTGGGTTCAAGTGATTCTCCTGTCTCAGCCTCACAAGTATCTGGGTCTACAGGCACCCACCACAATGCCCAGCTAATTTTTGTAATTTTAGTAGAGATGGGGTTTCACCATTTTGGCCAGGCTGGTCTCGAATTCCTGACCTCAAGTGATCCACATGGCTCGGCCTCCCAAAGTGCTGGGATTACGGGCTTGAACCACCACGCCCTGCCAAAAGCAGTCTTAAAGGTGAATAATGAGGATGCAAATTAGAAAAAAATAATAATCTAATAAAATTTCCAATTTTATTAAAATTCTGATTCAATAAATATTTTGTTGTAGTTAGAATGATTCCATCATTGAATTTGAAATGTCCATGGAAGAAAATAAATATAAAACAAATGAATTTTAATGAAGTTATCAATTTTCTTTTACTCAAGTTATTATTTGCACTTTTGCTCCACGTCAGAAAAACAGCAAACAGAGGGATTTTTAAAAGTATTTACTTATATGCTGCATTGCTGGAAGATAATTATGTTAAAGCTGGCACTCAGCAATGCAAACGTGGCCACCGCTCCTTTCTATCCCTCAGTATTATAATTGTAGGACATACACCTCACATAGAGTAGCAAGAAAACAATTCCAATAAAGAGCCCCACAACGAGTTCTTCAAAATCAATGCTCACTCCCTAAAATCTGTGAAGACTTAGGAAAGCTGATAAAGGCACAAGCCTCGCTTGGTGTGCTGGTGTGTATAAATGTATCCTGTATTTAACATATTCTACTTTAAGTTGTAGTCACAAGGTTGGTAAAATACTGGAAGAGGCCTTATCCTTAAAATGGACTATTTAGCAATGGAGAAACAACAGAATTTTAACAAAATTAGACTCCGCATTGTAAGAACCGTACAGAGTTTTAAATAGTCAGTGCTCCCAGTTCTCTATTTAAAAATGTCATTGAGGAAAAGGGACTCACGTAACTCTGCTAAGACATTTTATGCGCCTAAAAAGTGAAGCTACTTTTACATAATATTACGTAGCACATATCACAGGGAAGGGGGCAATTTTATTTCATTGCTAGCACTACTTAGAAGCTTAAGAGGGACGTAATTCTGATTATTCTTAGAGAAATACTTTCTCCTTAAGAGAAGAAAATTTTTCCTTAAATTCTACTAAAGAGGACAATTTCAAAATCCATTGAAATTAATAGACATGTATTGATAACTATTTAAGGTCATCCTAGAAAAGGAAGACAAACAGGCAAAACCTCCATTAATTTGTTCCAACCAACTGAGTATGGGAAACCCGAGGGCAACATTTCCTGGCTTCGTCCTTTCCTGTGTCTGATGCTCCAGGAGAATCATGACGTGACACTTCAGCCACCAGGGCTGCTGTGCTCTCCACCGTAAGGCAATGAACTTCATATTGGCTTCAGCATATTATGAGACTATATTATGACCATATTATGACACTCTTATCTTTGGTAAAATGATAATTAAGCATATTGTCTTTAAGTTTCAGTAGGCATATTTAAAAAAAGAATAGAAGTATTTTGGAAAATTATTTTAAAGAAATGTGATTCTCTTTCTTAACACTACCAATAATTAGCATATCATCTTAAGCAATTATGAGAAGAATGACGTGAATTAAGAATGTATTAAATCATTTCCAAACAGAATTCAGTAGGTCCTTTTTCTTGAATATTTTTCCTTAATGTGATTTTTGAAATAATTTTGACAACTTTTTAACTTCCACATTTTCTTTAAATATAACTTTTATTCCTTTTACTGTATTATTTCATGAAATCTATTTTTTAATAGACCAATATTTTTAATTTGTTTTGATCAAAGCACTTTGCTGGTTGAATAATCATTATAAGTAGAATTTAAATAATTACTTCTGGACTTGCCAAAACACAAGTTTTTTTTAATATTTATTTCTCTGAATCCTTTATTACTCTTCCTGTCACTCCTCTCTGTGTGGGGAGTATCTTATACATAGTGGGGGTCAAAGAAAAGACCACTGAGGAATGCTGTGAACATTTTTGTGACTTGTTGGTTATTGCATAGTTTGAACAAGTTGTGTTCTGAATATTTTAACCACATAATTAACTCAAAGGCCCTTGTGCCTAAAATCTCCAGCCATAAATTATACAAGTCATATTGACTGTTTGCAGGTTTACAGTAACAAGTAAACAGAAAATTTGAAGTTTCACATTATGTAAATAAAGTATAATTTACCTATGTTTACATAATACTTTGCTAATTAAGCTAAAAAATCACATTTACATAAAAAATAATTTATCCTATACAATTTAAATAAACCAGGTTTTAATTTCCATGAAGTAAATACAAATGTAGAAGAATAATGAAAGTTAAATTTTATATTTAACGTGATATTTAGAAAGCCAAATTGTTTAAAGCCAACAGAGGTGTACAATTTTTAATGCACTCCCCTTGAATCTGAATATCTGAATTAAGATATTAAATAGAAGTTACATAGATGTTATGTTAGCTCATGATTCAAAGGAATATAGTGAAATTTTACATACTACGAGTTTTCTCTTTTATATAGAACACCACATTGAAAAAAAGTGGCAGAATATCGGTATGCTTTTTCCCTATTTGAAAGTCGAATTTAAGCCAACTATGATTGAGAGGAGAAAGTGAATTTTAAAAAGGAAAGCAACAGAACGGCCGGGTGCAGAGGCTCACAACTGTAATTTCGGCACTTTGGGAGGCTGAGGTGGAAAGATAAACTGAGGTCAGGAGTTCAAGACCAGCTTGGCCAACATGGTGAAATCCCATATCTACTAAAAATACAAAAAGTAGCTGGGTGTGGTGGTGCATGCCTGTAATCCCAGCAATCGGGAGGCTGAGGCAGGAGAATCACTTGAACGCAGGAGGCAGAGGTTTCAGTGAGCCCAGATTGCGCCATTACGCTCCAACCTGAGCAAAAGAGTGACTGAGACTACATCTCAAATAGATAGATAGATAGATAGATAGATAGATAGATAGATAGATAGATAAAGAAAAAAGACAAAGAAAATCAATAGAATGCACCAGAGAGCTGGTGTGAAGGACAGTGTGGAAGTGACGCTGTGTGGATGGAGGAAAACGGCTTCCCCAACAGATGGTGCCTCCGTGTGTGGGGGGGATGAGGGGACACAGCCGTGCACACGAATGTGGTGAGCACTCTTTGGAGCCAAACCTGGGTGTGAGCTTGGCTGCACTAGCTGCCCTCGTAACCTGGACAAGTTGACTGTTTGTAAATCAGGGGTGATCTACTGGGGGAGGCGGTAGGGAACAAGGAGAAGAATCAGCAGGCGACTGTAGGAACCCAGGCCAGAGGTGGCTGTGAGCTGGACTCATGGGTAACAGAGGAAAGAGTGGGTCATATTTAGTTTTGAGAACTATGTTGGCAAGGCAGGGCGGTCAGGTGTGTGGATTTGCTGTGGGAAGTGAGGTAGAGGGAGGAATCGAAGATGATGCCTGGATTAACGCTGGAGCAACCACGCAGGGTGGAGGAATCTAACTTTCAGATTAAATAGCTTCAGTGGGAGATTCTTGTAGACGCCCACATGAAAATAGTAATGGAGCACCGTGCTGTGCTTGTGTAGGTCAGAGGAGAGGCGTGTGTCACACATGTGGGGACACACATGTGGAAGTAGCGACCGCACTTCAGATGCATTTACAGACGGAGAGGAAACGCCGGCTTCTAGAGAGACAGGGCAGTGGGGAGCCTCCTTCTCCATTCAGACAAATGATGGAGGTGAGATGCTGAGCTAACACTGCGCATGGAGTACTGGATAAACAGGCCTGCCAGGGAGCAAACGCTTATCAAGGAAATAAAGGTGAAGCATAGTTGGTGATGTGTTTGGGGCATATTGTGTATGTTAAAAGACAGATTGAAGAGGATACTGGAGAGACATGGGGAAGTCATTGAAGGTTTTGAACTGGGAATGGGGAGATAGTGAATAAAGTATTCAATAATATAGTATTATACAGGTGGACTAGAAATGGAGAGACCATGGCAACAAAGATCTTGAGAAAGTCATGTAAGTAGTTGAGCTTTGGGCTAACAAGAGCTTGGATTAATGTAACTGCAGAGGAAACAAAGTGACGTGACGGATATGGAAAGAACTTGGGAGGAAGAGAGGTAGGATGTGCTGAGAAGTTGTTGGGGACGGATAGCCACAGCGAACACAAACTGGTTTGGTTACAACGTACTGCCTCTCCTTAACTCAGGCTGATCTTTCATGTTCCCTAAGAGGTTCCTCCGAGGAGATTAAAATGTGTAACCTTTAATATCAATTCTGTTATTACCTGATATAACATTTGCCACATTAGCAGCTTCCTGCATTGCCTGGTTGTATGTGGCTGATGTAGAAACTAAAACAAACAAAAAAGTAAAAAAGAAAAAAAAATGACAATAGTGCAGCTAGTGATTGTAGTTCTTTCTTGCAATTTGAGCATTTTGTATTTTTGTGTTGTTTTTCCTATTTTCCGAAATTTGAAGTGGAAAGAATGTCCCCACTAGTATCAATGTAAACATGCAACTTTTAAGGAACTGGGAATAAATGTATTTGGGAGAGTCAAAGAAAACCAAGAAACAAAGTAATGTGCACCTGCAGAGCTGCGTGTGTTATAGAAGAGAAAACATCCACATTCAACAACTGAGGGTTCTTGTAAAATTAAAAGGTTATAGAAGCTATGATGAGGTGCATCCGTACTTCAATTTGTTCAAGTCACGTAGTTTTATTTCTCTACATAGTCCTATTACGTGAATTCAGTTCTAAGGTTTTATATATGTATTTGTATGCATGTTTATTCATTTGTTTTTGCATTGGAATGTATTTAAAACTTTTTAAAGTGTTGAAAGCTAAACTATCAATGTTAAGAGTAGAAACTTTATACACACATTTTTGTTTCAGTTATTTAAATGTATCATTCCTAAAAAGATTCATGCCTAAAAGAAGGACAAAATATTTCTTAACCAAAAACCCAGAGTTGTCAGAAACATAGGAAAGGATAATAATTCATGGGTATAATGTGTGGTGTGTTTTGTTCTTGTAACTACAGTGTTGTTTTATGTTATATGTTATCACAAGACTGTTGTTGGATGGTTCCTCAAAAACATCCAGGGTCCTAGATGTTCTATAATAGGTGAGGGCTGACTAAGAGATCAGTTTTTCTCTTCAAAATGGAACCACTGAGATGAAACTCTTAATAATTATAATAATAATAAAAAGCAACCGACTTTCCCTGCTAGCTCTTGATAGCAAGCAGGCCCTTGGGATGCCATTGTGCTAGGATCACCACATTTGTCTGCAGAGGAAACAACCCAGAAATAGGACAGCTTGGATTTCCATATGGGGCTCCCAGACATGGCCTAGTGGATGCCTATGGCTCTAATCCAGACATAGAGTGAAAACAGGAAGGAAAAATGCAAACCAGATGATCCCCATCTAAAATGTAAGAATCTTTGAGGCAATCCCCATAGGCTCAAATTATGAGACAGCCAATGACTACTTAGAAAAAACTGAGAATGTTAAATCCTTTCTTAACGATTGATAATGCACGCCACTAAGGATACCTTTTCTTAAGTTTGTATTGTGTAATCTGATCAATTACAATGAAAGATATCTTAAAAATCTTTACTAAGATATTTAGATAAGAACATAAGGCAACAAATTCAGACTTTCCAAAAGCGTCACTCACTAATCCATAGGTAATCATCTGAGAAAATAAAAAGAATATTGTATGAGTTTTTTCCCTGCAATTTAGAAGACACTTGCGGAGTTGCACTCCGACGCTGTCTTCTGACCCATCATTCTTGATATATTTAATGGAGGTGTGTGTCTCAGGTAAAGGATTCCTGCAAAGCCATCTTGCAATTTTAAAGCTCTCAGTTGCCTCAGTTTTATACATAATTGCAGAGCAAACACCCCAAAAACAAACGCCATTTAGATGTGTGAGCCAGTGAGTAAATTCAAAGGGATGGGCAGAGATAAAATCTTTGAAAATTATTTTTCCACCCCCATCTTTTTTTAATTAACTGATGCCTCATTCATAAATGTTTACTCTTTAATTATGTACTACAAAAAGAAGCACGGCTGTGCCTTCCCCTCTCTGCACTCTGAGCTGCAACGAGCTGTTCATTTCTTTCTGTCATGCTTACCATTATATATGCTCAATAAGCAATTGCTGATTGAATGAATCAAGTAGCTTGGAAGGAGATAAGTCCCTTTTGTAGTACAAAGAACTGGAAATCAGAAAACTAGATTACAGTCTAAGCTCTGTCTTATAAAATGGGTGATACTGAAACACTTATTTTAATTTGCCTCAGTTGACACCTTTATAAAATGTGTAAAAGAAGAATGCTTACCACACACGGGTGTTATAAGAATTAAACAGACCACACATGAACGTTGTATACATATACGCTAAATAAAGCATCTTTCATTAAAGGGGGTTGTAATAATTTGTGCCAATTAAGAAAGATTTAGATTCCCTTTGAATGTCTTGTTGCCCCTGGTGTGTTCAGATTCACCTCAAGACAGAAAGTCAGAGGACTACTCAGTGCAGTATGATTCTAGTAACACCCAGATTGATTAGCTTATGTTGGAGATAAGCTATCTGCAACATAGGGATTCAAGTAAAAAACTTTAAAAGATGTTCTTGTTTAAGACAGTGAATTTTAGCCCTTGGAATTCAGAAAGAACATTCAACATAAGGTTAATACTTAAAAAACAAATTCAGTGTAGTTGTCAAATTCTGGGTAAGTACGAACATTAGTTTTAGCATGATTACAAATGCTGTGGGTGGGTTATGTTTGCCCTGTCTATTGTTTCAGACAACGTTCTATTACACTACTGTGTGACTACGTCTATCCATGGGGCTTCATCAGCTGAACATTTGGAAGAAAAAGAGCATCATATGAAGGTAAAGTTAATTTCTGTTTGATCATGGTATGTTCTTATTTTTTAGAATCTGTGGATCAGATGGAAATGAACTCTGTCAAGAGTGATTTGCAGGAGTTCATATAATTTTTGTTCAGGCACAGAGAATGCTCACTTAAAGTTCTTGTTAAAATAAAATATCTCAACAACAAAGGCTGAATTAAGATGATCTTTCACTCATCAGATTTCATATAAAACCCTTGTAAATTAGAATAACATGTTTTGCAGCTTTAGAATAAAGCTAATTTCAACACAATTCTATACACATACTTTGAATAGAATCTAATTATATTACAATAAATACAATGTACTTCAGATGTAATGGCATCAGAACAAAAGGCAAGTAATTTGGAACAAGAACTTCATAAAGTATCACACTGAGAATAAATGCGTATCATAATAGTGTTGATCTTCACTATTTTTTTTCTACAAAATTTAATTTTCCAAAATGGATTTGTCATTTTTTTCAGGGTCATGTTACATAATATGTGCAACATGCATCAGACACATATTGTTCCATGTTGGAAGTTGTCTAGCTCCTGTGTTTTAGTTTTAGGCCAGTTACCCAGCTGCGAAGTCAACCACAGAGAGCTGAGAAAGTGGATTCAGTCAGTGGATTCGGCCTGAAAGATTGGGAACTCAACACCCTCTCTAAGGTTCAAATAAGTGAAGGTAGTGAAATACCCCATTTCTACGTATTGGTGGTTTTTAATTCTTCACTGTCTTACGGCAAATAAAGGTTCTCATCTCTGTAGCACCTACTCTAGGTTTATTTCCATTCAGCAATATTTATCCCTTCTGCTCTCCTTTGTCAGACAGGGATAGAATTGCAGTCATTACTAATAAGAAGACAATGTCATAAAAAGTTGTCTCTTCTCATCACTAAGGCTATGCCATAAATCTTGCTCACTCATTCATTTATTCCCGTCCAGAAAGCACTGAGGACCAACTGTGGGTTAGAACCAGTATTAGAGACTGGGGTACAACACAGAAAAAATGTTAAAACTGTTTTACAATTTTCAAAGAGGTAAGAATACACATGAACTCTCTTAGACTCCAAACAACTCTTCAGCTGAATTAATAACAAATGTGGATGCATGTGACACATCTGTTTTTTTCTTCTTCATTCTAGACATTATTTTCATCTGTTTTTTTCTTTTTTTGTCCATCTCTGCTACCAGTGGATTCCTTCTTTCAGGCCCCAACCATGCATATGTCTTATTTATCTGAACACACACACATACACACTCACACACACACGCACACACACACACACACCATTTCTAATTCCTTCCCTCTTCAAGTGTCTTTCTTTGTTCTGTTACTTTCATCGCCTCTATCCTTATTATCTCTACTGAATTACATGAAGGAGCTATACTCACTTTCTCCCATTTTCAACATCTGTTCAGTCATAAAATCTGGTAATCACGCCTCACCTCCTATCGCTTACCTGAAGCTGCTTTCTAAAGCCTTGCAATGCCACCACTCAGTTCTAATACACCATTCCTAAGCCTCCAACAATCATCTTCCACAGTGCTCCTTCCAGCCTTCAATGCTGTTCACTACGGATTGTGCCATTATGAGCACCTTTGTGAACAAACTGAAGTACTGTTTAAGGCATGGCATATATCAATCAATCAAACTGTTCTTCAAAACCATCCCCCAATTAAAAAAAAAAAACCTCACTTTCTTGGGTTCAGAATAAACCAATGCAGTCTGCTTATTTAAATACAAACAAACAAACAAAACCTCTTCTTTTCTTTTGGGACTTTACTTGCTTTCTCCCCTCCTTAAAACTAGAACCTCTTCCTGAGTTAATCTCCCAGCCACTTCCCTTATGATAGTACTGGGAAGGCTACTTTAAATCCCTGATTGTATCCACATCTTGCTCCCTTAGAACATCCTTCTTTTCCGTTTATTTAAGTTTTAGTTGTACTGGGAACCAGTTCAGACATGGAGACTTTTCTAACAAAAAATCAACAACAACAACAATAGTGAATAAAAATACTCATTTATTTTACTTCCTAATACAGTTGTCTAAACTCTCATTCATTTATTTTCATTTTTATGACTTCCAGAAGAAGATATAATGTAATAACGTGAGCATGCACTTTAGAATCCAAGAAATTTGGGTTAATCCAGACTCCTACTCACTGGCTTTCTGACTCCGGGGAAATTACTTACTTTTCCCAATACCTTGGTTTTTATGTGAGTAAAATGGGGCATATACTACCACTACCTTGGGGAAGGGTGAGGATTAAATGAGATTATATAGTCTCTAGCATACAGATGGAAAACAGTAGGCATGCAGTTAATTGTCATAGTATTCATCCTTTTTGTATCTTATTAGTATCTTTTACCAAATGAAACCTTCACCAAATGAATGCCTCGTGACTTCTAGATTCTGGCAGCATTCCTCCACCACCCATCTCCTTCCACCTTCCCTGTGTCTAGTCAGCCAACTACTCTGTAGCCCGTTCAAAGCAGAATCAAATTCACTATCCTTTTATCTCCAAATGTTGCTTAACTTTTCTAAGCCTTAGTCTCATCAACTATAAAATGGATTAAAAATGGGTATCTTATAGAAGTGTTGAAGGATCAAATCAAAGAATGTATAAAGAGAACAGCATCACCTGGGAGGTGGTAAGAGCTCAAAATATACAGTTTCCACCGTGATAATGGGGATAAGTATGTCCATCATTTCGATGATGGAAAAAGGGTGCTGAAATTGCCATTCATACTGGGAGACTCTTTAATTTTTTTCCTCATAAACTTCCACACTGCTGTTCTAGGGAGCTGCAGGGGACTACATAAATGAAGTCATCGATCTTACCTTTAGAGTATGGTGCCAAAAAATAAAAAGTTAAAAGTTAAACATGTATAAACTGTAAAAGCAAGAGCCTCAGAGACTTAAAAATATATGTTAGAAAGCCTCCATTTATACAAGAAATAAAGAACAGAAAGTGGTGTATATGAAGGTGGAAATGCTAAGAACCCAGAGTATTGTCTGTAATCACTCCATCAGCACAATACTGAAATCTGAACTGCGTAGTCCTAGAAATTCCCAATCCACGCAGCCTGTGATTGCAGAATGATGCAAAGGCAGATGATGCCAGAGACGAGACGGCGCTGGGTTCAGAACTATGCATCTACCGGTTAACCAGCGAATAGTCTTTTAAGGGCCTCAGCAGGACACTTAAGAACCACTCTATACTGTCTATGAGTCCATCTGAATACATCTATATGCCTACATACACGTATGAATTCTTGGTTTTCCTTTTGTTTTTTGCTGTTTCTCCCCTGAGGTTAACTCATTGCAACACTTTGGTGTTCTTCCAAACTCCCATGTTAAAGAGTTTCACTTGAACAGCTGTGGAAGGAAAGACAGTGCAAATGGGCAGCCCTAACCAATACCACATTCCATCTGGGGCCCTGACAACGATCCCACTCAGGTTGGTTGGGCAGGTGAATATTTTCATTGGCTGCACAGTTACCCTTGTGCTCTGACACTGTCAAAACAAAAGGTCTCCATGGTGCAGCTGTCCTCAGTCACCCTGCAGTCACCAAATATGCCGACCAGGAAACATACCTAAAAAATTATGGATGTGTAGGAAGTTTCTTAATTTTACAGAAGTACATTTTAAAATATTCCAACCCAAATGTAGGAGGACCTTCTGAAGTACCTTGGCTCATTTTAAAAGTCTTTCCAAATAGAATGTTGAATTTATGAAAGTGATGGTAACCAAATGATTGAGTAATCAAACCACATTCCAGAGGAGAAAAGCAAACTGGGCCAATGATAAGTGAAAGCTTTTGCTTAGGACAGCAAATGCTGGGTACAGAAGTCTGTGAGTTCAAAGTGAACGGAGAATTACTCACTCCGCACATCTCTGAATTGAATCTGAAAATTCAAATTGCAATTGCCCATCATCTTGTTAACAACTACTATCTCTCCTAATAATGTACAGCATTTTCCCAGTGGACTTGCTGTTAGAGCTTCTAATAGAGAAAGGAGGACTCTTGAATCCCATGGTGTTGGGGACTGGGGACCCGGCAATAGCTGAGGGATTACTGTCACAGATATGCAGAAATCCCAAGTCAGTCTTCTGAGATCAGCAAGTTTTACCTGCGCTGCACTAATTTCTGAAGTAATGCTCATTGAAACAAATAAGAAATATATAAAAACAAAAACAACCTCAAATCATGTAAATGACTTACTGGTTTTGTTTTTCTGTGTTAAATGCTTTATTGTCTCTTTTGTAATTTAGGACTCATGCCCCTTGCCCTTCTGTAATGTTTTGTTTTTAGATATGCTATACTTTACACATTATAAGGAAGATCAGAGAAATCATGATCTTAGCTTTTTCTATTAATTTTAAACAAATATGTAGAATTTTTGCTTTGTTTTTCCTTGCAAGAGAAACTGGACATTGGTAACTTCGTAAGGTTAACCCCTCTGGAGAATATTCTCCCTGATTCTGTCATAATAGATTTAAGAAAGTCCTTGGTCAGTTTCAGGCAGATATCAAATCTGTCACTTGAGGGGCAGAATTCTTTGAAAACTTAGCGACAATGGGGAGGCTTATGGTCACTGAAATGTCAGCTTATCACAGGAGGCTGACTCCCAGGCTGAAATAATTCAATCTAATGTAACTCATGTCTACTCAAATGCCTCCTGTTCTTGGCCTTTTAAATGTTTTTTGCTGTAAAACTTTAAATACTCCAATATTCAGGACATTTACTGATAATGTTCTCCTAAAATGTATCCAAAAGATTTTAGACAAGATATTGGAAGCAGATATTTTTGAATTTAATTAGTCCAGGACAACAAAAGGAAGATGATTTTTCTCCTTCAGCAGTTGTGTGCAGCCCGCATTCATATCCTGCTTGATATCAGGAAGGAATCTATCCTGAGAACCAGCGCCCTTACCTCTGCAGTCTAAAGGTTATAGCAAAGTGCTGAGTGCTGGAGTCACACATTTACTTTAAAAATAAGTGACAAATTCCCTGATAACTTTAACACGTGCAGAGCCAGCAAATAAAAATATTTGTATTCTAAACTTTTTACTCTTTGACATTGTGAGTTGACTCAGCGGGTCAGAGAATTATGTTACATGGTTGTGCCCTTGGTTTTGAGCTCCAGACAGTTCTATAAAGTGGATTCTATCTCTGAACACGAGTTAACAGTTATTTTGCAAAGTAGCCACAACTGTGAGCCAGTCAGCACAAAACCAGTAACAGCAACATTTTCTAACAAAAAGGTAAATATATATAATTATATACATATAAATCTATACTGATGATCAGTGTATACATACATTATATATATCATACTGAAAGTATGACGTGTGTGTGCATATACACACAGTGATCATCAATATTCTCCAGAGTAGAAAAAAGTTGGTTTTGAATTCCAGATCTCCAATGATTTTCAGGGAACCATTGGCCAAATTCTCTATCTTTTCTAAACCTTGGCTTTTTTGTCTGTTAAAAAAGGGTACCATAACATCCACATGATTATTTTAAAAAGGGTTTTACATATATATAAATAAACATATAAATATATATAAATGTAAATATATATACACACATGTAAAACTGACTGCATCAAAGTTTGATACGATGGATACAAAAAATGTTGGACTCATTCAGATATTTTCATGTAAACACTTGTGTAGTCTTAAGGATCTTTAAATCTCATTAGGTATCTGATATGCCACATTTTTACATGATTATAAACTGGAGTGAATGCTTAAAACCCATGATAAGAGTTCCTTTATCCAAGACTTGATAGTAGGAAAAGCTGAAACTTCTTATATTACAAAAGTTACCTGCTTCAAAACAGAATGACAGAAAGGGTAAATTCCATGACAGCCTCTTCATAAAATGCTCTAACTCCCTGGCAGCATTGTCTGGTGCTATATCTCTTGCAGTTAATATTTGTTCTCTCCAGGTTCCCAAGGCCAAACAGCTTTGTGCCTGTGTTGCAACATTCACTCCTCAAACCCTGTGCTGCAGACGCGTGAGCTCCTGATGTTCTAAGAGTGCCCCAGCTGCACACCTGCACAGGCCTGTCCCTGCCCCAGCCTGGCCCTTCTGGGCATTACTCAAGTACTACAATAGGTTCTCCCTCAAGACACACAAATGATCAAGATTGACCTGTCCCACAGAAGCAGAGTGTTGATTCAGTCCCTCGTCTGCAGCAGTTACTGTCCTTGATTTTCACTGGAATTTAGTTCATTCTCTAGGGTCATAGTGTGTGTGAATGTACGTGAGTGCGGATACACATAGAGACATAGATACATAATGATTTATCTCACTCCATCTTTTCTTTTGAGTTCTAAGCACCCATGTGCAAGGATTGGTGTTCTCCACATGAGTGCTTAGAACACAAAAGGCATTAAGACTGCACACTGTGAAAAAATGCACAGGGCAGTACTACACACACACGTGTACACACATGCACACGCACACACACATGCGCACACGCATGCACACACACACACAGGATATGTGCACTGAATGTATTTGACTCTATTGAATTTTCTTGCTTTCACGGATTGAGGCCCCACCCTCCCACACCCTAAATTTGCAACTTTTCAAAGCCACTTTTCTGTTAAACTGTAAATAAATGAATTAATAATTGCATGAGAACGGTCTGAATTAGAGTGTCTGGAATGAGGCTAGTTTGTCATACATGGGAAAGAGCTGTGCCACAGACTAGTAAAACAGCACAGTTCCAGGCGGTTTCACACAATAGCTGGCAACAGTCCCAAGAGGAACTAGGTCAGAGCCCGGGGAAAAGCACAATCCGGCTTTCCGTTTCCCAGGAACTGCTGGCTATTTGCTGACCTTTACGAAGAGTGTCTTTAAATGTTTCCTTGAGATCAAAGCCTCTGAGTGCTTAGCCTTACATTTTTAGGTATTACTTTTTCTTTTGTATCCATTAAGATCAATCCCACTGTGAGTGAGAATTACACAACAGTAGTTTAAACATGCTTGCTCACAGCCACTGCCAATTCGATCATAATAGAACAGTTTCACATTAAAAAAAAAGCAATTCAATTAAAAACTACATTATAGAAATGCTAAGGGCCTAATTCCAACTAAAGGCAGCAATGAAATTTAAAGTAAAGACAGCAAGGGAGGGTTTTAATGTGTCCTTAGCTCCCTACATGTAATACACAATCACTAATAACGTACAACTGAAAATTAGATATCCATTCCATGGATGCCATACATCCTAAGATTATTCCAAGGGCAGAAAAAGCTCACATAACGTCAAAGGAAACCCTAAATATTGATCAACGGCCGTATTCAACTGTAAGGTGGAATTTTCATTTTAACTTCATTTCATTGCTTTAGTGATCTTAATCTTGTAACACTTCTGAATTTTTTTTTTATGTTTATATGTGCTTTAGACATGTAACTATGAATAAGAAGGTGTTTATAGAAAAGTATTTTTAGGAAAGAGCATGGACACTGGTTAAACTCATTAATGATGTATTCATTCAGTAAATAATTATATACTGAGGAAACTATGTTCCAGAGATGGTTCTAGGCTTCATTAAGCTTATTTTCTGCTGGATGCAGACAATTAAAAAATACGACAAATAAGCAAATTCATTGTCTATGAGTAGGTGATGAGGGCTACAGCAGAAGAGGAAACAGGGAAAGCAAAGGGGATTGGAGTAGCAGGTGGAACGTGGTTTCTGACCCCATTAGCAGGTTTACCTGTCATATTAGCCTAGGCTGGGGTACCCCATGGCAAGATCAACCCACAGCTTTCTGGATCGTAGTAAACATAAGCTTATTTCTCACTGAAGAGGCTCCTCTACAGCGTTGAAAAGTGTCCTTTCCACTGAGTTACTTGTCACCCCTTTTGCTGAGGCCATGACCCTCTGAGCTTCCCGGGACAACAGAGCAGACAGGACACAGCTCGGCTCTGTGCTGGCCCCTGCAGGCTTCAGCCCAAGGTTCGGTGCGTCCTGAATACCTGACCTGAATTAGCCACAAGTCCCAACTTCACCACAGGAAAATGTAGAGCAGGAGATTGCATCTTCGGGTGTGCCACCATCTCCACTGCATCAAGGTAGGCCAGATTTTAGGGGTGCCAGGCAGGAGAAAGAGCTATGTAGAGTCTCTGAGGCAGGACAACCCTTGTGGGTGGAGGGAAAGTGACCATCGATTTATTACATGTTTCTCTGGTGAGTACAGACCAGCGTCTGTGCCTGATGGACACCCGGAGATCTATGAGAGGAATCCAGCATTGGGTCAGGGAGTGATCTATAAACTTCCGAGCAGGATAAACACAAGTATTAATGTATGTGTTTCTGTGGGTGGGAAAATACGTTAGAGCTTACCTCAAATTCTAAAAGGAAGTATCCACAATACCTATATTTTTTAAGTCAAAATAAAGCATTCAATTACAATGCTGCATAATTGATCTGGTAAATATTATACAAGTCATTTCCATATCAAACTCTATAGAATTTTACACACCAAACTCTCAGCTTTCATTCTCTCTGCATTGCTCTTGAGTAACCCTGTTCAATAGAAACAGAATGAGAGCCTCCTATGATATTTTAAATTTAAGAGAAGCCACATTAAAAAACTAAAAATGTGAGTTAATAATTAAAGGTGAATTAATTTTACGAATATATTTTATTCACCAAAATATATCCAAAATGTGATGTTGATAGGTATTCACTATAAAAACAGTAAAACATTTTCTTTATTTCATACCAAGTCTTTAAGATCTGATGTGCGTTTTATACACACAGCTCTTAAGTTCAACAACAGACCCCGCACAGCTAGTGATCAGCGGCCACAGTGGCTGACGGCGATGGTCTGGGAGAGCTCAGGTCTACACCAGCACACACTATCCGAAGTCAGAGAGAAAAGAAAAACTGCCCCGCATTTCTTCAACTCAAGTCATCGTTAATATTTAAAAACAAATCAATAGGCTTATTTATAAACCAAAACGCGTTGTGGTTCTCAGTTTCACAGGGAGAAGCTCTACGTCAGAGACTCAGCAGATGGGCCTTAGACAACACTAACAGGAGAGAAAATTGTATGAGAGCTGCCACATATCACGCGGCACATCTCCAAGCAGGCATCCATGTCAACGACAACATGAACAAGGTGATAATGACGACAGAAATGAGGACTAACAACCAAGCATAGTACTGGTTCTACTACACACAATTCCAGTCAACTTCAGAAAACAAATGCAACAAAAAGGCTGAAAAACACTTGCACTACTACAGAGCTAGAAGTAGCTGGCGCCAGAATGGAAACCCAGTTCCAGCTGATTCAAAGTGCTTGCCATTTCAACACGCTGCACTGCCTCATTTAGAACTTCCTGAAATAGAGAGGATTTCCATTCAGGAATAAAGCTCCTTACAAAGCCACCTGTAGAGGATAAAGTCCTCTCTATACAAAAATCACTCGCTCCACAGCAGAAAATGTCTTGATACACATCACATTGGTACGGATTTGTTTAAAGCACTGGATAATGATTACAAGTGAAACGGATATTTCAAACACCGAAGAATTCCATGTCTACAGCACTAATTGATATCTGGGCTAATTTTTAAGCTACAAAGTAGCACCTGCTGGCTTCTAATTATAAGCAAGCGCTTTGTGAATAGCTGGGAGTATGAGCGACTCAAACTGCATGTACAATGAGCACCACCGAAAGCTCATTTGAAGTACAATCCATCATCTGTGTCCAACATGACAGGGAACCGGGCAGCGCACACGCTCCATCAGATGCTGTGATTAAAGGGAGGGACGCTGCGGTTTGTCACATGACTGCACGAGGCTGTCACCACCTGCTGTTAATAACTGACAGGCAATCTGAGCCTGCTTTATAAGAACGAAGAGACAGGCTGCACATTCTCTCTGATGGAAATAGAAGGAATTACTCACTCTTTCATCTTCCTAAATACAAACTGAAACAAATAACATTTTCGTCAAAGTTTTGCCCCCTACGGACTGAAAACTGCAGTAAAAGTAGCATTGACCGGGGAGCTTAGAGAAGTAGAAAGTAAGGGAAAGACAGAAAGACTGCAGGGGAGAGAGAGAGAGAGAAAGAGAGACAGAGACAGAGACAGAGACAGAGACAGAGAGAGAGACAGAGAGAGAACAAGAAAAAGACGGAGGAGGAGGAGGAGGAGGGTAGGGAAGGGGAGAAGACAGAAGAGAGACAGTTTTATTTTTATTAAGTTGTATCAGACTCTATGGGAAACAAATCAAGCTTATGTGAAGTCCTTCGTAAACATTTAATATTTAATTTCTATAGGTTGAGTTGTTTCAAATGCTGTTGAATGATCTCTGGGAAGCCAGTAAACTCATATGACAATTGTAAAAATTGGGTGTTGTATGATGATTCTCCTGGCATGCAAGATCTCACCCCGGGTATCTGTATCAAGAACTACTCTCGACCATGTTCATAGCATACGACAAAGTGACTGCCATGTTGTTCATCATTTGCTCATGAAGGGCTCTGCTTTAAAAGCATCAGATTTAGTGGCAAGTGATTGCTCTTATAAATGCAGTTTTAATTTGATAATTTATTTGTAACCCCAACTGTTTTCCCAGAAATCACCATCCACTGATATGCCATCCCTTTAGATTTCCACACGGCAACAGCACAGGTTCCCGGCCCGAGAGTCTCAGAAGAGCCTTTTGAAATGCCACCTGACACTTTCGACAAATTATTTTCCCCCTTTTAGAACAGTTAAGCAGACAATACTTAAAATAAACGAAGTGTATGCATACCGACTTTTGTTACATTTAGTTTCTAGGCAGCTCATTAAGATCTGAAATATCTTGATTCTAAAGCACAAGCTCCTAAGTAGCATGGCAAAGACCAGCAGAGTTCTGCATATGCATGCACAACATCAGCCTATCTGCAAGAATTTGTCACTTTAGTGGAAACAGCCAGAAATCATTTAAAAAACTGTGACAAAAAATTCCATCGCCTTAGAAATTGTCCATTTATGTATAATTTAGAAACTACAGTTTTTCCGAATTATCTGGAAAGGATTGGTTTCAGGACCTCCATGGATACAAATATCTACAGATGCTCAAGTCCGTCATATAAAATGGCATAGTATTTGCATATAACCGCATCCATTCTCCCTATATACATTAAATCATCTCTAGATTATTTATAATACCTAATACAATGTAAATGCTATGTAAATAGTGTTATGCTGTATTATTCATGGAATAATAGCCAGAAAAAAATCCTGAATATTTTCGGTATAGACACAACCATCCATTTTTTTTCTGAATGTTTTTGACCCTTGGTTGTTTGCAGAACACACAGATATGAAGGAGCAGCTGTATTTTTTTTCTATATTCCTCAAAGCTGAGCTATCATTTTCACGAATAAAATCTTATTTCATAGATTTACTGGGCATATAATATAGTGACCTAGCAAAAATAAAGAATCTTAATCACGGTGAAAGTTTCATCTATTTGGGAATTGAGTACCACACCACTAAATATGTAACCCTACTTTACAATCCCATACATGCTGTGCATGAATAAGTAGACTTATTGTCAGTAGTCACTGAAGTTTTCAGGCAAAATTGACCATCATTTCCCAGTCAATGTCTGGAACTACGCAGGAGCATTTGCCTTTGGATATTGTTGGAATCAAAAGCTCTAGACAACATCATTGGCAACCTTGTAAGTTTGTTGTCCATTATCATTAAATAATTTTCAAGATACTCCGAGGCATATGATGCTATGAAAAATCTTAAAACAACTATGTCTTATTTTTAAAGTGTCATGTAACATAAGACAGTTTGATTTCTGTGGTCATTGACTGAGAGACTAAACAAAAAGGGTGTTACCATAAATACTTAAAACAGAGTAAGATAAAAATAAGGGAGAGGTCCAAGACAGTCATTGTGCTTTTTCTCATAATAAAGTTCTTTTCCAGGCAATTTGGGCACAGAAAATGAAATAAGATCATGACAATTTGGTGAATAATACTCTATGAAAAAGTCCAAGGACTAACTAGAACCACAGAATCATCCTGTGTTAACTAAAATGATTAAGATAAACTGTGCCCAGGCTAGACTGAAACTTGAAGTCACCCAATGATCACGTGGAATAATAAGCTTTCCTCCAGCATGGAAATAACGGTGGAGTTGGAAAAGTGTCTTAGAATAATAAGGTTTAAATATGCAAATCTGCCATTTCATCTGGATCACATATCTAAAGAATAAAATTTAAAATCTAGAGAATATAGATATGAAATAAAATAAAACAAGACTGAAAGCTTGGCAACGAAACAAGTCATGATATACTGTGAGAAGCAATTTTAATTTATTTATCCACCATTTCCCAGGAACTTGTGAATTTTTGGCCTCTAACTTCAGCCTATGGATATGTATGTTTTTAATCTAAGGGAAAAGTCAGCCAGCAGAAAGAGTCAAAAATATAGTACTCTGGAAATCTACATTTTCATTACTTTTCCTTTAAGCCAGATCCCTCTCATAAATACTCCAAGAAATGTTAACTTTTCATATATTATTTTCCCCTAGCGTGTGCAAGTTAAGGATTTTCATTTGTATTTAATTTTTAAACAATTTTCTGACTAGTTTAATTTTTAAACAGATTTCTGAAAACCATTTTGTACTTTCTCCCTAATATATACCTGATATATACAGGTGTGTGTGTGCATGTGTGTGTTTCTATAAAGTTACCTAAGAAAATGTTTTGCTGCTTATAATTTCAGGGTTTTTTTTCCCCTTTCTCATGCTCTCAACCATCCAGAGGTTCATGAACTCAGATTACAGACATTCAAACGAGAGATATTTTCAAGAATATGTATGTTTTTAAATGTTCTGCTTCTATTTCTACTTTTTTTAAGGAAATCAGAGACTTTTTTCCTTGAAGAGTACTGAAATATTATTTTCTTATGTCAAAAGACATAAAGTGAGACAATGACATTCTAGAAGTACTCAGCTGATCAATTAATAAGTATTACAGTTTCTTTCTAAAATGCAATCTGAGCTGGAACAAGCTCACTAAGAGATGCCTGCAATCAGGGACTCCCTGCGAAAGGAAATAACTTAATAAACCTTGCACCGCATGGAAAAATCTGGTAGAAATCTAGTATCTTTCAAGGATTCCTTCTACAAAGTTTTGTTTTGCTCTGGTTTGGTTCGTACACTCTAATGATTTCGGACAGAAAAGTTTCCCTGTTCCCAATATTTTTGTTGATATTTGTGTTATGTTTGTCATCATCTTTTGGTTCCACGTCTTTGCTTTCTATTATCATCAGTCAGTTTGTTTTAGATATAGATCAGTGAAATCTTATGAGCAGAAGAATCTGATGGCTGAAGAAAGAATCTGCTGTTACGAAAAAAGACCTTGGGAAAAGTTTATTGATGAAATACACATGGAAATAAACAGTATTAAAAAAGTATGTATCTTTATTATAGAATTATTTATATTCCTTAGGATATATACCCAGTAATGGGAAAAGCACATGCACGAGTATGTTCATTGCAGCACTATCCACAATAGCAAAGACATGGAATCCACCCAAACGCCCATCACTGATAGACTGGATAAAGAAAATGCAGTTCACATACACCATGGAATACTATGCAAACATAAAAAGAAATGAAATTATGTCCTTTGTAGGGACGTGGATGGAGTTAGAAGCCATTATCTTCAGCAAATTCCTGCAGGAAGCAAAAGACAAACACCACATGTTCTCACTTATAAGTGGGAGCTGAACAGTAGGAACACATGGAAACAGAGAGGGCAACAACACACACTGGGAACTGTTGTGGGGCATAGGGTGAGGGAGAGCATCAGGATAAATAGCTAATACATATGGGGCTTGAATCCTAGGTGATGGGTTGATAGGTGCCGCAAACCAACATGGCACATGTTTACCTATGTAAGAAACCTGCACATCCAGCACATGTACCCCAGAACTTAAAATAAATAAAGTATGGCAAAAGCACAGTCTCTGTAATTTTACATACATAGTTTTTTATTGTATTATTTTGTTTATACCAAGTCTTTTAAATGACATGAAATGTATAAAAATCTACTTTATGTTAACATTTGCAATTTTGTCTGAGGCTAGTCTTGAAATAAAAGGAAACTGAAGGAACCACATTAGCCCACAAGATCAGGGGCCCCTTCAAAGTGCTGGGCATCCAGAGCTTAAAAGAGCTGGGCAGTCTATAGCTGCTGAGCCATAATTATCAAGAACCAGTAACACCTCTTTCAGGGGTGTGAAGCTCACCTCCTGAGGTTCTTAGAAGGCATCAATGAATGTCTCTGATACACCTTTCTGTGCCTGCTCCCGCACATTTACACAGACTCCACCCTGGCAACGGACACAGGCCTGTGATGAGGCTAGGGCTCCATCGCAGAGAACCCATCCAGGAAGAAAATGCCCTGACAAGGCTGAGCTTGCCAGTAAATATTTAATAAGTAAAAGAGGATGTGTTCCCTCCCCATTCTCCCCTGGTTCTTCCACCCTCCTGCCAATGGAGTGACCCATCCTGAATACAGGAAGTTTGGAAAAGACATCCCAAACTGGACACAGCACGTCCTGCTTTCTCTGTTCCCTCTTCTGGGGAGGCTGACTTCACAGTCTGTGCGTGTATGAGGGCTGGTTCTCAGCAAGCAGGGACCTGTCCAAAGGGGATCCTGCCCCAAATCCCACAAACCCCAGACAAGCCCCTATATTTATATATGAGGGTTTGCAAGTGATATGGAGATTTAATTACATGTTTAAAAATATTAAACAATATATCCTTAAATGCTCCAGCTTATGGCTCCAAACGTTAGAATTTTATACACACAGACATAACTTTTGTTTATGGCTCTTCACTGTATTGCACTTTGCTGATATTGCGTTTTTAAAAATTGAAGGCTTGTACCAACGTGGCATCAAGCAAGTCTATTGGAGCCATTTCTCCAACAGTAAGTGCTCACTTCATCCTTTTGCGTTACATTTTGGTAATTCTTTCAATATTTCAAAAGTTGTTGTTATTATATCTGTTATGGTAATCAGTGGTCAATGATCCTTGATGGTACCATTTAAGGTGTTTTGGGGATGCCACAAACACCCCCATGTAAGACAGTGAACTTAAATGATTAATGTGGTGTGTGTTCTTACTGTTCCACTCATCAGCTGTTCTTTATCTTACTCTCCCTCCTCGGGCCTTCCTAGCCCCAGAGACACAACAATATTGAAATTCGGACAGTTAAAAATCCTACAGTGGCTCCTATGTGTTCAATTGAAAGAAAGGACTGCACATCTCTCATTTTAAATCAAAAGCTAGAAATGATTAACTAAGTGAGAAAGACATGTCAAAAAAACTAGGCCTGCTGCACCCAACAGCCAAGCTGTGAGTGCAAATAAAATGTTCTTCAAGGAAAATAAAAGGGCTTTTTTTTTTTTTTTTTTTTTTTTTTTTAAATGAGACAGTATCTCGCTCTGTCACGCAGGCTGGACTGCAATGGTGCAATCTTGGCTCACTGCAACCTCTGCCTCCCAGGTTCAAGCAATTCTCCTGCCTCTGCCTCCTGAGTAGCTGGGATTACAGGCACGTGCCAGCACACCTGGCTAATTTTCTGTTATTTTAGTAGAGACAGAGTTTCACTGTGTTAGCCAGGATGGTCTTGAACTCCTGACCTCCTGATCCACCCGCCTCCACCTCCCAAAGTGCTAGGATTACAGGCATGAGCCACCGCGCCCAGCCAGTGCTACTCTTATAAGTGCATGAATGAGAAGAAAATGAAACAGCCTTATTGGTGAGATGGAGAAAGTTTTCAAGTTATCTGCATAAAACACCAAACCAGCTACAACATTCCCTTAAACCAAGGCCTACTTCAGAGCAAGCTCCTCATTTTCTTCAACTCTATGAAGGCTGAGAGAGGTAAGGAAGTTGCAGAAGAAAACTCCGAAGCCAGCAGAGACTGGTTCATAAGATTTAAGAAAAGAAGCCATCTCCATAATATAAAAGTTCCAGGTGAAGCAGCAAATGTCAATGTAGAAGCTGCAGCACGTTCTCCAGAACATCTAAGATCATTGATGAAGACGGCTACAATAAACAACAGATTTTCCATGTAGACAAAACAGCCTTATGTAGGAAGAAGATGCCATCTAGGACTTTCATAGGAGGAAAGAGGGTAAGTCAATGCTTGGCTTAAAAACTTCAAAGGACAGCCTGACTCCTCTATTAGGAGCTCATGCAGCTGGTAACTTTTAGTGGAAACCAATGTTTGTTTAACATTTTGAAAATCCTAGGGCTCTTAAGAATGATGCTAAATGCACTCTGCCTGTGCTGTCTAAGTGGAAAAATAAAGTCTGGATGAGACCACATCTGTTTACAGCACGGTTAATGCAGTATTTTAAGCCTACTGTTGAGACCTACTGCTAGGAAAAAAAGATTCCTTTCAAAATATTACTGCTCATTGACAACACAGGTGGTTACGGAAGAGCTTGGACAGAGATGCTTAAAGAGATTAATGTTGTCTTCATGCCAGCTAATAAAATATCCATTCTGCAGCCCATGGATCAAGGAATAACTCAAACTTTCAACTCTTATAACTTAATAAATGCATAAGTCTATAGCTTTCATAGGTAGGGATTCTTCGATGGACTTGGTCAAAATAAATTGAAAAACCTTCTGGAAAGGATTATCTTTGCTAGATGCCATTAAGAAAAATTGTGCTTCATGGGAGGAGGTCAAAATTTCAAAATGAATAGGAGTTTAGAAGAAGTTGATTCCAACACTTTACAGTTGAGTTTCAAGAATATAATAAGACTTCAGCAGAGGTACCTGCAGATGTGGTAGAAATAGCGAGAGGTAAAATTAGAAGGGGAGGCTGAAGACGTGACTGAATTGCTGCAATCTCATGATAAAACTTAACAGATGAGGAATTGCTTCTTCCAGATAAGATAGGAAAATAGTATGCTGAGATACAATCTACTCCTGGTAAAGATGCCATAAACATTGTTGAAATGACAACAAAATATCTAGATTATTATAGAAACCTAGTTGATAATGCAGAAGCATGGTTTGAAAGAATTGATTCAAATTTTGAAAGAATTGCTACTCCGAGCAAAATGCTGTCAAACGGAATTGAAACCTAGAGATAAATCTTTCATGAAAAAAAGTCCATAGATGAGGCAAAATATCAATATCTCATTTTAAGAAATTTTCACAGCTACCCCAGCCTTCAGCAACTACCATCTTGGTAAGTCAGCAGCCACCAACATTGAGGCAAGAGCTTCCAGTAGCAAAAAGATTATGACTCACTGAACGCTTAGATAATTTTTAGCATTTTTGGCAACAAAATATTTTAAAATTAAGGTATGTACACATTTTAGACATAATACTGTTGCATAAAGGTTACACTACTGTGTACACATAATTTTCATATGCACTAAGCCAACATATTCCTATGATTCATTTTATAGTCTAAAACTGAATCTCTGAGGTATGCCTGTGTTTTTATATATAATGCTTTAGACGTATTTTTTTACAACTAAAAATTATCTTGAAAAAACGTAGGATTCTTTCACTTTTGTCAGCTAATTCATAATTTATTATTTGGCTAATAAGGAACTTAACTGATCATACATTTTTAAATAAATATATACGTGATCAAACTCCACACTTACCTGAATGTTTATATGTGCTTTGCCCATAATTGCTAAAATTTGGAAGCGACCAAGGTGCCCTGTAAGAGGTGAGTGAATAAACTGTGGGACATCCTGACAATGGACTGTCAATATTCAGTGCTAAAAAGAAATAAGCTATCAAGCCATGAAAAGTCATGGTGGAATGTAAATCATATTTCTCAGTAAAAAAAAAGCCAATCTGAAAAGGTACATACTGCATGATCCCCAATCATATGACATTCTGGGAAAACAGGAAGACAGAAGAAAGATCAGTGGTTGCCAGTGACTGGGGGCAGGGAGAAGTAAACACCAAGAAAACAGGGTTTTCATTATTTTATTTATTTATTTATTTATTTATTTATTTATTTATTTATTTATTTATTTATGGAGAGGGAGTCTCACTCTGTCTCCCAGGCTAGATTGTAGTGGCAATCTTGGCTCACTGCAACCTCCGCCTCCTGGGTTCAAGCGATTTTCCTACCTCCCAAGTAGCTGGGATTTACAGGCGCGTACCACCGCACCCAGCTAATTTTTGTATTTTTAGTACAGACGGGGTTTCCCCATGTTGGCCAGGCTGGTCCTGAACTCCTGACCTCAGGTGATCCACAAGCCTCAGCCTCCCACAGTGCTGGGATTACAAGTGTGAGCCACCGCACCCAACATAAAATAGAATCTTTAGGACGGTGAAACCACTCTGTATGATACTATAAGGGTGGATACATGTCATTATACACTTGTCCAAACCCATGGAATATACCACACCATGAATGAACCCTAACGTAAGCTGTACACATCAGATGGCGACGTATGAGTGCAGGTGCCTGAATGGAACAAACGCGCCATGAATGAACCCTAACGTAAGCTGTACACATCCGACGGCGATGTATGAGTGCAGGTACCTGGATGGAACAAACGCGCCATGAATGAACCCTAACGTAAGCTGTACACATCCGACAGTGATGTATGAGTGCAGGTGCCTGGATGGAACAAACGCGCCATGAATGAACCCTAACGTAAGCTGTACACATCCGACGGCGATGTACGAGTGCAGGTGCCTGGATGGAACAAACGCGCCATGCAGCAGGGCAGGTGTTGCTAAAAGGGGCGGCTACGTGGAGAGGCAGGGGGTGCGGGAAACTCTATAGTCTGTTCGGTTTTGCTGTCAACCTAAAACTACTCTAAAAAATAGGGTCTATTAAAAAAAAACAAAAAGCACCTGGCATTTACTGTACAATGTGCCAGAAAAAGAATAAGCTTTCTGAAATCAGAAAGTGAGGTACTCGAAATGTGTACCATCCTTTGTCTTTTCCATGAAGTCTGAGAATCAGGCTGGTAAGAGGCTACACCTAGTGACTATCTTCAGTAAGATGGCCTGACGCTTAACCTTTTTTTTTCTTTTCGCAGTTTGGAAACTGTCAGTAGTTAACCAGAATGAAATCTGGCCTCCTTTCTACTCCCTTTTCCCCCTTGAGCTTTGTTTTTTCTTGCTGCCACATTCTAGCCAAGGAGAAAAGACAGACACGTCCTCGAATTATCTGAGTATTATTCATCTCGATGGTTGCTGGAATGGCTTCCAAGGACCCCCTCCATCTCATGGTCGTTTCTGTCTGCTTTCCTCTCATCTATAATCCCAAGGAACTCACTCGAAGCAGCATGCGTGGCTGGCTGGTGGGATCCTCCTTATACATCACCGTCTGCCTGTACCAACACTGTCATCGCCTCATGCTTCATAACACCGGGACACCAGGCAAAGGAGCTCCCAAGCTGAACCTCTGCCTGCCGCAAGGTAAATACAAGCAGGACCGCATGCTGCAATTTCAGGGTTATGATCGTCTTAATAAATGATGCACTCAATGTGCTATAAATCATCTCCCTCCGACCAACTCTCTCGGCAGCCTATTATAATACTCACTGATTGTGACAGCTAATAGCAGCTACAATAAATGATGGCAATGATTATTTTTTACAAAGGACTTCCAGTTAGAGAAAAGGTGTGTTAAAACGCTGAAGCGCCCGCACTTCTGGGTGCCAAATAGACAGACTGTATACCTGACACTGGCCTTCTCTAGTCAGTAACTTCATCACATAGCTTTTAGAGAAGTAAGTTTAGATGTCAAATAGATATTCAGAAACACACCAGGCCCATTCAGAGAATGTCAGGCTCAGAACGTATCCTAGAGGACACCTAGTTAGAACATCTCACTTTCCAAACAAAAGACAGAGACTCAGGGCATGTCAAAAACCACAAAACAAAGTAGAGGAAAGACATTTAAAACTAGAGAAAGAAATTTTCCTGGAAAAGTCAGGGCAAGTCAATAGGAAAAAAAAAAAAAGCAGTGTACAAAGGACAAGAGCAGGCACATGAGAAATGACATAGGTAAAAAAAAGTTTTTCTCAAGCCTCTTAGTCATCAGGGAACAATGAAGGGTGTAACATCGGCCATATGATTAGACAAATTATAAGGCTTGTGTGTTTGCAGGTGTACAGAATAGTGAGGAAACGGCCCTTGGCAGACTCTCAGTGGGAGCAGAGGGGTGTGTTGGTACATTTATGCTGGCAAATAGCTATTAATATTAAAAACTAAATTTTTAGCACATGCTTTGTTCCAGCAACTAAACTTCTGAAACATGCCCTTAAGAAATGCTCACATGTGAAGAAGTTCGACCTGTATGGATGTTTACTGCAGCAAACTTAAAAATAGAAGCTTTGCAATCTACCCATCTGACAAATGTCTAACATCCAGAATCTACAAAGAACTTAAAGAAATTTACAAAAAAAAAAAATCAAAAAGTATACAAAGGATATGGACAGTCACTTCTCAAAAGAAGACATTTATGCAGCCAGCAAACATATAGAAAAAAGCTCATCATCACTGGTCACTAGAGAAATGCAAACCAAACCAAAATGGGATACCATCTCACGCCAGTAAAAATGGCGATCATGAAAAAGTAAGGAAACAATAGATGCTGGCAAGGCTGTGGAGACTTAGGAACACATTTTACACTGTTGATGGGTGTGTAAATTAGTTCAACCATTGTGGAAGACAGTGTGGTGATTGCTCAAGGATCTAGAACTAGAAATACCATTTGACCCAGCAATCCCATTACTGGGTATATGCCCAAAGGAATATGAATCGTTCTACTATAAAGACACATGCACATGTATGTTTATTACAGCACTATTCACAATAGCAAAGACTTGGAACCAACCCAAATGCTCAACAATGTTAGACTGGATAAAGAAATGTGGCACATATACACCATGGAATACTATGCAGCCATTAAAAAGGATGAGTTCATTTCCTTTGGGGGGACATGGGTGAAGCTGGAAGCCATCATTCTCAGCAAACTAACACAAGAACGGCAAACCAAACACCACATGTTCTCACTCATAAGTGGGAGTTGAATAATGAGAACACACGGACACAGGGAGGGGAACATCACACACAGGGACCTGTCAGTGGGTGGGGACAAGAGAAGGGAGATCATTAGGGAACGTACCTAATGCATGTCGGGCTTAAAACCTAGATGATGGTTTGATAGGTGCAGCAAACCATCGTGGCACACATATACCTATGTAACAAGCCTGCACATTCTGCACATGTGTCCTAGAACTTAAAGTAAAATTAAAAAAAAAATAGAAACAAATGGAAACAACCCAAATCTAAATGTCAACAGGCAAATTACTAATCAAAGTTTGGTACATCCACAGCAGGGAATGCTAAGTGAACATTTTTTAAAGAGGTTGATCTACTACTGATTTTACTGTTTTCAGTTAGAAATCAAGTCACAGGATGATATTGATGTGTCATGGACTGAATATCTGTGTCAGCCCGAAAACCCATTGGTTAAACTCGTAATCCTCAATGTCCTGGTATTTGTAGGTGGGGTGCTTGGGAAATAACCAAGTTTAGATGAGGCCTTAAGGGTGTAGACCAGAGGATAATAGTAGTGTTCTTCTATCTAGGGAGGAGACCAGGACTTCTGCTCTGTCTGTGCTCTGTGAGGAACAAGGAAGCACACAAGCACACACTTGCAAGCCAGGAAGAGAGTCCTCCCAGAACCACAGTGGGCTGGCAGTCTGATCACAAACTTCCAGCCTCCAAACAGTGGGAAATGAACATCCATGGCATTTTGCTACAGCAGCCTGAGCTGAGTAACAAAACGTTCTACGATGCAATTTATGATTTTAAAACTCCTACACGTTTGTGTATGTTTCTGGAGACACATCTGAAAGGGTTCGACAAAGTACAGGACAGTTGCCGGAGTCTGGTAAGGGTAGTGGGAGGGTGAGAGGAGCTGGGGATGGTTAATAGGTATCAAAAAAATTAGTTTAAAAGAATGAATAAGACCTAGTATTTGATAGCACAATAGGGTGACGGCAGTTGATGATAATTTAATTGCACATTTAAAAATAACAGAGTATAATTGGATTATTTGTAATACAAAGGATAAATGCTTGAGGGGATGGACACCCCATTATCCATGATGTGAATACTACACATCGCATGCCTGTATCAAAACATCTCACGTACCCCATAAATATATACACCTATTGTGTATCCACAAAATTTAAAATAAAAAAAATTAATTGGCTGACAGCCATGACTCCTGGGGCATAAAAAGGATTTGGGGTAAAGAAGGGTTTTCACCTTTTATTATATATACTTCAGTGTTATTTCAATTTTATTGATTACTTAGCTATAAGATAAGATTATTTTATAAAATCAGATTCTTACTTAGACTAATGCCAACATGCTGACCGTATGCCCATCCAATTGTTTGTTGAGTTTTCTCTCCTTCCTCCTCCTCTCTGTCTCATCCCTGCCAGTCACTTCTCACACAAATGCTAGAAGAAGAACCAGGAGATCAATTATTTCCAAATTTCTATATTTGGCATCTTCTGGCGATAAGGGATACCAAAACTGGCGACCGGGAGGCTTTCAAATGGCCTGTGGCCTCACACTTTTGGGTGCCAAATAGACAGTCTGTGTACCTGCCACTGGCCTTCTCTAGTCAGTAACTTCATCACGTGACTTTTAAAGAAGTAAGTTTAGATGCCAAATACATATTCAGAAACACTCCAGGCTCATGCAGAGAATGTCAGGCTCAGAATGTGTCTTAGAGGACACCTAGTTAAAACATGTCACTTTCCAAACAAAAGACAGAAGCTCATGACATGCCAGAAATCACAAAACAAAGGAGGGAGAAGTCTTTTAAAATTACAGAAACAAATTTTTTCTGTTTTATTGTTTATACACCATGGAATTTATTTAGGAATTCTGTTCCTATGTGCCTGAAAATGTGTATAATAAGAATACTTTTCTTACATGGTCATGGACAAACTATACATGAAACATGAACCTTTTGATGGCTTGGTTTATTAAACATACTAGTTTAGTAGTCCAGGAACAAAGGAGTTTCTTTTCTGACTGGGTCTGTTTGTCAAGGTATTTTTATTTTATTTTTTATTTATTTTTATTTTTATTTATTATTTATTTTTGGGCAGAGTCTCACTCTGTTGTCCAGGCTGGAGTGCAATGGCACGATCTTAGCTCACAGCAACCTCTGCCTCTCGGGTTCAAGCAATTCTCCTGCCTCAGCCTCCCAGCTATCTGGGATTACAGGCACCTGACACCACACCCAGCTCGTTTTTGTATTTTTAGTAGAGACACCGTTCCACCATGTTGGCCAGGCTGGTCTCAAACTCCTGACCTCAGATGATCCACCCACCTTGGCCTCCCAAAGGGCTGGGATTACAGGCATGAGTGTCAATGTATTTTTCATTACAGAATTCACACGCCCACCACACCGGTCAAGGGCTTCTTTGCTATACTTGCTTCTAGTTACTTTCCTATTTCTCACTATAATAATATTAATTGTAACCCTGACAGATTTGTTAATAGAAGTGAAGCAATTGTCTAAAATGTAATCAATCTTTTATTTTTTTTTCAAAAGAGAAGTAAATCATGTGCATAAACACCTAGTTTAAAAAAAAAAAAAAGAAGTGGGAATTCTTAGGAAACTAAGCCAAGATTTTCTAATTTCAAAGTTGAAGAGGGTTTTCATCATTCTGACATACTTCATTCTAGAATTATGGCAGCAAGGATAAAACAGCATTAATTTGCACAAAATTACAAAGGTAATATTACAGTACATCACTTATTTTCTAATTGTAACTTAGTTCCAAGGCTTTGGGGGGGACAAAAAAAGCATTCTTTTTTCAATACTCCAAGAAATTTAAACTATTAGAATGACTCTCAGATACCAACTCATGAATCACACATCACACTCCCTGATTTTATATTAAATGATTAGTGAATTTAAATTTTAATAATGCTTATGTATAGATTTACTAAAATATTTTTAATCATTAAGAATAATTTTAAATCTATAAACTTTATTGTATAACTACATGTTCCTTTTAAAATAAATTTATAAAATATATATCAATATCATAGAAATATAATATTGTATCGTATAGGATATCAGAGATACTTACTACATAATGTCGCTAAGTTATTTTCCTGACAGACTTGATAAGAATGACAGTGACTCCAACACCGTGTTAATGATAGTCTATTTGCTGACTTTTGTGAGGGAAGTGCAGTTGGTTTGACTTCGTACATTTCTTAAGACCTGGTTATTTATAGATTTGCTGGTCATAAGACAGCTTTGATGACCAAATATTAAGGGATATTTAACCCAAGAAGAAATAGGATTTACTATATACTCAGTGCCAACAATTTGCCAGGCTGTACACCAACATGATCCCATTAAATATGAACAACAAACCTCTGACGCAGTTAGCAATAGATCCAGGGTGGAAATGAAGAAACTAAGAGACACGTAGATTAAGTAAACTGTCTAAAAGAGAACCAGAAAGTACCAGCCGCATTTTAAATACCTGCCAGTCACCCCGTGCTTTCCCAATGTTTGGAGGACATCGCATGCCCTACAAAATTAGGGCTCTTCTGCAGAGATGGAGGTGATAAGCCTCCAATCGCCAAACCAAACCATGTGAGGCCAGGAAGGGCAGACCCTCAGGGGCTGCAGCTGGGCATGGCTAAATGCTGTAACCCAGGATTTTTTCCTAGAAGTAACACTTTCTGTGAAAGGGGAAGATTTCTGGCTCTTATCAATGGAAGTCACTGTCTTCCATCAAAAAAACAAATGATTTAATCTCCCCCTCCCTCTGTAACAGAGTTCACAGAGAACAGAAACTTGGTCCACATAAAGAAAGGCAACTCCTGAAGAAACTAATAGCTACGAGACCCTTTAAGGACACAAATCCACGTTAAATTCTAGGCTACTGCAAAGCAGCACTGTGGCTAGACCTACGGTGATAATTGGCAAAGACGTGCCACTGAGCTTCCAGCTTTGACAAATTACAATCAGAGACTGGAATTTTTCTGTGTTTAATTATTAAAAGCTTTGATGCTTTCATAATGCCAGTGAGATTGGAAAACAGAAAAATGATCCATCAGTACACAAAATAGGAAGATGAAGAATATTTAGGCAGTCCATGCTGAGATGTTTTTTATAACTCGGCTACATGATGGAAGGGTTAGGAATTCCTTAGAGCCAAGTTCACAGTTAATGACAGAAACATGTAGTAAATGATACAGGCTTTGTAGCTTTTAGAATATATTAGGTCAACAAACATTTTCCAGGTCACTATCTGGAGCAGATGCATGCCAATTAGTAGGCTCAGTGGGAGCCTCACCCATCCCATAACGTCCTTTATTAATTCTTATCTGGGTGTGCCACATATTTCATTTGCTTTACTGTTTCTTAAATATATTTGGCCTTTAATGTTTAAATATCATTATTGTGGGTAAATCAGTGCAGTTGAATTGCTTTTAGAAGATTCGGGACTGTGTTTTCTTTGATGATTAACATTGAAAATGTGAACTTGTAACACATTTAAAGTGAGGAAATTCAACGTTAATTTCTATGGTTTTTATCACTTTTGAAAAAAAGTCATTTTTCCTTTGATGATAACATTGGAAATGGGAACTGGTAACACTCTTAAAGTGGGAAAACCTGATGATAACTTCTATGGTTTTATCACATTTGGAAGAAGTCACATTGTAGATCATTAGAATTCAATGTGTTTATGCTGTGATAATTTACTGATGATGAAGTCAGAAGAACCCAAAATAAAATATAATAGAGAACTAAGTTCAAGTGAGGACCTATAGAGAATGAGAACACGGAACTTTCAACGAGATACACATTCCAGGGTTGTATGTGATTCCTGAAATCAGATTTCACAATCTCTTACAAAGAAGTTTCTTATTTGTCAATTACAACTCAAAAAAGCTGGAAAAAAGTTTCTGATGTACAGGAAACAAAGAATAATTAAAATATTAATGGATTATCTAACTTTTTTTTTTCTACATTGCATTCCGGAACGACATTCCCAACACACAGACTTCTACGCACAGAACAACGAAGAAAAAAAAGAGAAAGAAAAACTATTTTCTGCAAGAAGTCAAGTGATGAATGTTGTCCTAAAACAGTCTGCGGAGGCGCAGGGGAGGAAGTGGGGGTGGGCAGTACGACCAGGAGGAAGCTTCAGGGCTCCTGGGCAGGGGAGTGTGAGGCCTGAGGTCATTAACAGTAAGCACTGACTGGCAAATTAATAACATCAATTTAAACAGTTATAATTCCACAGGATCCTCTATCAAGCTGATTCTAAATGAGAAACTTTTCTTTACGGATATGAAATGTTTTCTTCTCCATATCAAAAAGGAGACAGGGGATTTGTATTTAATTTTTTTCCCTTTAGTGTAGAAGGGAGGAAACCCACGAAGCTGCAGATGGCCACTGTGGACTTCTCTCCACGGGGTGAAATCACCAACTGCCCCTTGAGTGTGTCTTCAAGTATCAAAGCCCTGAGAACTTACAGAAGCTTTGTGGCCACCTGCGCCCGGTAGTGGGGACCATCTGGGGTTTCCTGTGCCTGGCACCAGCACGCACAGCCAGACCTCACTGGCAAGGCCCAGTGTGAAAGTGAGGGACTAAGTGGCTAATCTGGCTGGACTTCCTAGGTCAATAGGGACTTCCCTAAGGGGGCTTTTCCCTAAGCCAGAATGAGTCACAGCTGCAAACTAAGGGACTGAAACTTCAACCAATCATATAGGAAGTTTAAGCTCTAGTTGCAGCCTGATGTTTTTAACCAATCAGGCCCACCAACCCACAAGCAGATACAAAATAAACTAACTCTATAGGACAGAAAAAGGAAAAGCGGAGGGGTTATAAGGAGATATAAGCATAAGACACCCAAGCCAGAAACAGCAACTCTTCCGGGTCCCCTTCCACCTCTTGGAAGTTTTACTGTCGCTTTTGCTTTCCTTTCACTTTCATAAATCTTGCCGCCGCACACTCTTGGGGTCCGCACGTTTCTCTAATTCAGCTGTAACACTCGCCGCTGCAGTCCACGGCTTCATTCCTTGAAGCCGGTGAGACCAGGAACACTTCCATCGAGAAAAAAACCTTTGATCAGGAGAAGACTTCTTGTCTCAAAAGGAAGATAACTCTTGGGGCCCCAAAATTACTAAACTAAAGGGAAAGGTCGAGCTGGGAACTGCTTAGGGCCAACCTGCCTCCCATTCTATTCGAAGTCACCCCTCTGCTCACTGAGATAAATGCGAATCTGACTGGCTTCTTTGGAAAAGCTAATTAGAAACTCTAAAGAGCGCAACTGTTTGTCTCTCACCTACTTGTGACCTGCAGGTCCCCTCCCTGCTCCAGTTGTCCCACCTTTCTGGACGAAACCAATGCACATCTTTCATCTGTTGCTTGATGTCCCATGTCTCCCTAAAATGAATAAAACCAAGCTGCGCCCCGGCCGCACTGGGTACACGTCGGCCGGACCTCCTGAGACTGTCAGGGGCGCGCAGCCTCAACTTTGTTAAAAATAAACATTCTAAATTAACTGAGACTGAAACTGCCTTTGCAGAATTATAACTGAGGAAATTATGTCAGTGACAGAAATCAGACCTAACCAACTCTATGTTGCTTCTAACCTTTAAGTTGTCCTTGTTCATTCCTGGGCATAGGCTGAACTAAATTTGCGAAGGAATTCAGTTCACAGTTTGACT
Organism: Homo sapiens; assembly: GCF_000001405.40. NCBI lineage: Eukaryota > Metazoa > Chordata > Mammalia > Primates > Hominidae > Homo > Homo sapiens. The sequence goes on from NC_000008.11 coordinate 4,125,740, forward strand.
CTGAAACAAAATTGTTTACAGCCCTTATCAACTGATAGAGCCCTTATCAATTGATCAATTGATAACAGCCCAAGAAGACCCCCATCTTACCTGGTGTCCAGTCTGCTTTGCAGGACTAACAAATTAGCTACAAGTTTAGGACTTACGGTTTAGGAGACACGCAGCCTCTGGCTCCAAGAGTATGAACCTTCCCAAATTGCTTCTGGGGATCACATTACTATTGTAAAACCTAAGATCTAAGATCGGTGGTTGTGATATGTTGCAGACCCTGCACTCCATGGATCAGCTGATACCACCAAGACTTTTAATCTGGCCCGACCAGTTTTGCCATTGCACCCAGAAACAGAAGACAGCAAGAAAAACTCACTTTGACCCCCTGTGATTTCATCTTCAACCTGACCAGTCAGCACTACCCACTTCCCAAGCCCCCACCCACCAAATTACCATTAAAAACCCTGATCCCCAAATGCTCTGGGAGACTGATTTGAGTAATAATAAAACTCCAGTCTCCCACACGACCGGCTCTGCATGAATCACTCTTTCTTCATAGCAATGTCCCTGTTGATAAATTGGCTCTGTCTGGGCAGGGGGCAAGGTGAACCCACTGCATGGTTACGAGACCTGTCTCAGCTATTCAGCATTCACACCAGAATGGTGCCAAACACCCATCACAGGACAGCACCCTAGCGAAGACACAAACCAACATAGTAACATAGATTTCACTTGCTTAACCTGTGCACCCCACCTCCATGGGCACACTGGAAGCAGGAGGTCTCCCACTGATGGTCAGTGCTGCAGGGAGGCCACTGATCCACAATTGTGGGATGGAGACTGGGGACGGGCCACCTTCTGCTGTCTTTCATCAATTTATACTGCACATGTCCTTGAGGCTTTCTGTATTTGGTTTTCTTCTATCTCCTTATTAGATTCTGAGGGTTTATTAATCATTGGTTGGTTACTTCACTCTCCTGGAAGCTGCTCCTCTCCGTTTGAAAAGCCAACAAAAAAATAAACATACAACTCTTTTCTCATAGAAACAGGCAACACTTCATTCTGGAGATGTGTCCTAACCTGGGGTAGGAGATGTCCAGGACAAGTAAAGTGGATGTTGGCAAAGATCAGTCCCAGGACCACAGCATCTGTCTCCTGGGAATGGGTTAGAACACAGGCTCTCACGCCCACACAGACTCTGCTGGAAGAGACCCTGCAGGTGAGGACCTACACTGTCAAGCTGATGCTGGTGCACATTCGAGTTTGAGAGCCACTGGCCTACAAAATATATATACCCTGGCCTCCAAAATCATAGTTCAAGTTTTAGCCAAAAATCAGTCAATCTCCTGTGATTTTTTTTAACAATCCTAGTTATCTGATTCACCCAGAGAAATGCTTCTCTGATCCATCTTTGCATCTGCTGCAGAAACAAAGGATATTTAAAGTTCCTGCTATCCCTGGAGGTGGCTGTCCGGCCCCCTCCAGGATCAAACCCATGGCCTTACGGAAAGCTTCTAACACTACAGGCCCCGCTCCAGGTTATTCTCATGCGGCTCCCTCTGCTTTTCAGATTTCTTATTCTAGACTTCTTTCTTTCTGGCAGTACAAGCCTCTCCCTTCCTTCTTTATCCTTCAGCTTCAGCCACCTGAAAAAAAATCTCCAATCTGGAAAATCTAAACCAACCACCTTTTCTGAAAGGACACAGTTTTCCAAGCATTAATGAAAAAAAAAAAAAAAAAAAAAAAAAAGAAAATCATAAAAACTAACTTCAACTGCAGACTTCTCCCTCCACCAGAAACCCTTTGGTTTTCCTAGTCAGTTTTCCTTCCTTTCCACAGAGGGATTTTCTAATTGTTTCTACTTTCCCACACCACATACAACACCCAAAGTACCTGTATGCATATTAGAACCACTCACCCCCTTTACTTAGACTACTTATAAGGAAGATATTAAATAATAGGCAGTCATGATGAATAAATTTAAGAAAGGTATATTCAGCATTTACTATGTGCCAGCTACCAAGTCTTGACATATATTGTCTCATTTAATCTTTACTCTGAAGTAGATGGTATTTGTACTATCATTATTTATCATTCTTATTATTATTGTTACTGTTTTGCAGATGAAGAAACCCAGACACTGCCAGCAAATGGTGAAGGCAGAATTAAATTCAGGTACTCTGACTCCAGAGCATGCACAGTTAAACACTATTCTGTCTTGCAAAGCCTTGTGATATTGGTAAATGCCACTGCTTTGGGAAAGGGATGCTGTCACTTGAGCAAGTACCACATTTTATATTCTTCAGGTGATTTATAACATCTCAAGAGCAGTGGACAAGACCTCAAAATGGTTCCTCAACAGTCTTCACATGCATCTGGCAAACACTGTCAGGCCAGCACTCCCACCCCCACCTCTGGAGAAAAGTTTGCACTCTTGGTCGGGGACCCCTGCGGAAAAAGTGCCCTGAGAAAACAGCAGCTCCTCCTTGAAAGGCATGTTTCTGCATGGCTGACAGGTGCAATCCCGTGGAGGAATGCATGAGTAAGAATGATCTGAGAAGACTCGTGAATTACTACAAATTAGGGTCAGTTTTTAATGAGGAGACAAGAACGTGAACCAAGTAAAAACTTATGTGGATGGTAAACAGTACCTTCGATTTGGAACTAAAACATCTGTGATGACTCTATTGGGAAAGTTGCAAGACAACTATGAATGCACATATGCCATTCCACATGCTCTCCAAGGTTTAAAATTTAAAACAACCAAACAAACAAACACATTGCTTACTCAAACCCCCTCCTATATTCTATTTTTACAGATAACACATCTCATCTCTTTTAGCTTATCTCCAAACCTTCAAAGACCATTGTTACAAAGCCCATGCTTGCTTTTTCCTCTTGAAGCTTTAGCTCTCCACATGGAAATATGTCTTCTTTCTTTCATCCCATACCCCACAACCTCACGCCCACACACTGTCCACTCATCCTTGCTGGATACTTATACTTTCATCCCACACACCACAGCCTCACACCCACACACCATCAACTCATCCTTGCTGGATACTTATATCCTAGTGCAAGTAGGGTAAGTTTCGGGATTCATGTCATTATTGGTAAGTGTTACAGGCTCTGTGCATGCGCTGTATCATGAATATTTCTGTCTCGTACAACTCATATTGTTTTAAGAATTCCTGTTTTAGCCGGGCATGGTGGCATGTGCCTGTAGTCCCAGCTACTTGGGAAGCTGAGGCAGGAGAGTTGCTTGAACCCGGGAGTCAGAGGCTGCAGTAAGCCGAGATCGCGCCACTGCACTCCAGCGTGGTTACAGAGTGAGAGTCCAACTCAAAAAAAAAAAAAAAAAACAAAACAAAAAAAACAGAATTTTTATTGTTGTTGTTGCTTTTGTTTCATCTGTACTTATCACCAACACATCCCCAACCTCTTCTTCCACTTTCAACATCTACACTTAATATGTTCAAATTCAGCAGATTCCTATCAATTTCCTCTTCTGAGGATGTCTCCTGGGGAGCCTTCAGATCTGCTGTCAACAAAACTAGCACAGTCATTATCTTCTCCCTCTTTTCATGTGGAGCCTGGGAATTCATTTTTTGAACCTTCTTGAATGCATTCCCAGTTTCCTTGACCACCTCCACCCCCAACACACCATGTTCTCCTTTCTTGGCTAATTTCCTCTTTTAGGTAGATGTACTGAGACAGGTGCATGGGAGATAAAAATTGTGAAGTTTTGTATTGTGAAAAAGTCTAGGAGTAAATGACATTTTGCCAGGGCATAGGAATCCGATTTTGAGATTGGATTCCATCAGAATATTTTAGGTTATTTACTTTACGTTTTTTATTATTATTATTATTACTGACCTACTCTGACTTGTTTCCTCTCTGGAAATTTGGTAGGATATTCTCTTTTGTCCCAATGTTCTGAAATCACCTAATGACATTTTGTTATACAAGTCCATTTTCATTCAGTATTCAGTTTTCTTGGGCCCTTTCAATCTGGAAATAACCATCCTGGAAAATTTCTTCAACAATTTAATTTTCTCCATTTGTTACTCCAACTTTATTTTCTAAGTTGTCTCTGACACCTTTTCTTTCCTAGATGGTTCCTGCTTTTTCATAGCATTCTGTTCTTGTTTTGTGAATATAATATATCCTTTTACTTCTCAGGTAATTTTAACAATTATATATTTAAGTTCTTATATCTTGCAAATTTTCAGTTTCTTCCCAGTTGCTTTACCCTATGTGTTTATTGGGAATTTTGCCTTTCTTGTCAGAAGATTTTTATGGCAGTCTGCTTATATTAGAAGAAAATGATCGAACCTCCTGAGTGTGTGTGTGAGAGGAGGGCTAGGGCTGCTCCATCACCATGGAGTCACTGTCAGTAAATCAAGCTTGCTTATTTTACTGAAAAAGACCCAACATCTTTTCCTTAGTTCTTTCTTTCTCTTGAGTGGCTCAGGGTCCCTCACTTTCTTCTTGTCAGTCTAGTATGTAAGTTTGGAGAGCCAAGGATGTCTATATTCATGCAAACGATTAGTTTAACATCTTTATTCTGGTATAATCCCCAAATATGCCTAAGGTCTTCTATTCCAAAGACCCCCAGTAATGGAAGTGGAATTTGATCCTAATTCCTTGTAAAATATACTTTTGATCAACTTTTTTACTCTGCCTCACCGTCATCCTCAGTTTAGTGCAAAAATTTCTGGTTCTGCCAATTGCTGAAGCTTTTGAGTGTACCCTGAGGCGAGTTGATTTGATTCTTGGCTTTCTGAAGTTTTGCATTAGGATTCTTCTTTCCTGGTTCTTTTAAATCAATTACCACTGACCTTATGTTTTCTAACTTGCAAAATTGTATTACGCTCTTGTCTTCTACCATTTAATTTGTCCTTGTGAACTTGTGACTTTGAAGTAATCATTTTGTGATTATAATGTAATTTTAGTGGAATTTTGGAGGGGAGTAGATAACACATGAAAGTATTTTGTCTATCAACTCAAAGGAAGATTTTGAGGTGGTTAACATTTTTCTTTGTAACAAAATCTGTCAATGCTTACAAATTATATATTTGTATATATAATATTGTACTATGTGCTATATTATATATATATTATTTAACTTAGAAAGAGTGTTCATATGCTGAGATAGGTAGAACAATGCATTGGATGGACGGATTAATTATTCAGGCTTTCTGAATATCATATCTAATCTATAAAATAGAAAACATTATACTTTGGTCTTAAAAGTCTCTCCCTGCTGTTGGAATCTAGCATTAATGACTCCACTGGCTCAAGCGTGATTGGATTTGTCCTAATCCTTTTTAGAAATGCCTCAGAGAAGTGTGATTTCTAACTGCTGTTAAAAGGAGAACCACTGCTTATTCATTTACAAGTTATAATCATAATGTAGATTTTAGACAAAAGACTGAGAGTAGTACATCAAAAGACTTCATAGTTAAATAGAGACGCCATTTCTATAAGTATACGGCATGTGGTGTGGCTGAGTACAGAAAGGTAGGAGATGAACTGTAGGAACTGAAGAGGCTGAATCTACACAGAGCTTCCTGTAATGTGAGGTCTGACTGTGCTTTCATCTTCCACTTGGTGACACCTACACGCTCCTCAAAATAATATTCTAATCACATCCCTTAAGCCTTCCTTGAGCTATTTGTACCACCTCTCTCTCAACTACCCCTGAGGTCAAATATACGATTAAACTTCTTAAAAAATAAAAGTTTGAAACCAAATATTTTCCCCTTGGATATTCACTAAACATTATGTTTAATATCAACGCATTTTGTCTTTAACTGTAGAAAATATTTTTCTCATATATTGATAAACTGCATAGTCCCTAATGCTTAGTTTTACACTTGAGAATAGGTACAGCTTCTTGACTAGTTCTCAAGTAAATAAAACTTAAAATGTTAGATAGACTTCATTTATTGCATCCCTTGCAAAAAATATACTATCAGAACAATGCAGTTGTTATCAAGATTAAATTAGTATACAAATGTGACTTTTTTTTTTTTTTTTTTTTTTTTGAGACGGAGTCTCGCTCTGTCACCCAGGCTGGACTGCAGTGGTGCGATCCCGGCTCACTGCAAGCTCCATCTCCCAGGTTCACGCCATTCTCCTGCCTTAGTCTCCCATGTAGCTGGGACTACAGGTGCCCGCAACCACACCTGGCTACTTTTTTGGTATTTTTTAGTAGAGACCGGCTTTCACCATGTTAGCCAGGATGGTCTCGATCTCCTGACCTCGTGATCCCTGTGACTATTTCTATCAGAATCCCTTCTTGATGGCATAACAAAGGTAAAAGCAAAGCATTATAGATTCTTCAAAAACAGGTAAAGAATCACATATGGATCCCCAAAGTCTGTCTTGACAGTAAGAACGACATTTCTACAGATCAGCTGTTGCCTGTTTGTTTATGCGGGTAAAATTTGTCATGGATTTTTTTTTTTTTTTTTTTTTTTCACGGGGTAGTAATACCCCTTTCTAACATCTAGCACTGCTGGATTATGAAAATTTTATCCAAGGTGATGTTTATTCTCTGAAGGTAAACTCAGACTGAGCAAGACACAAAGGAGAATATAAATGTCCTTTTCTGTATTTCTTGTAGAATACATCTTGACTTTGTGCCTATTCTCTAGTATGGTGTCTGAAAATGATGTTTACCCATAGAAACTATTTTTATTTAAAGGAACAAAATTCCATTTAACTTTTACTTTAACAGGAACATGGGTAGTATAATACATTTTATTAGGCATTCCCCTGTTTCTGGGTATAATTTTAAAATGCAAAGGGGGCAATAAATAAGGCCCTTTGTGCTATAGCATACATCATCAATGGCTGATAATTCATTCCAGCACAGTGTTTGGCATTCATTCTAAGCCAAATAAATATTCTATCTTCACAACTCATGACAAACCTGATGAGCCTCGCAACTCAATGTGGGGCTTCCACGCACTTCCGCTGTCATGTGTGAATCAAAATGTTGCAGAGATAGTGTTGATGTTCTCTACAATCCGTTTAAAAAGACACAAACTGTGTGTGAATGTAAAGAAGAATTGATATAAATGCAGATGATAGACAGTTTGTAGCTCAAGACAACTAGGATATATGAAATTTATTCTATTTCTAGAAAGATTATCTTTTATTAACAAATCCTGAAGACTATGGTAAAAGTCATTTATTTATTTATTTATTTTTGAGATGGAGTCTCGCTCTGTTATCCAGGCTGCAGTGCAGTGGCGCGATCTCGGCTCACTGCAACCTCCGACTCCCGGGTTAAAGCGATTCTTTTCTGCCTCAGCCTCTTGAGTAGTTGGGACTACAGGTGTACGCCACCATGCCCGGATAATTTTTCTGTATTTTTAGTAGAGAAGGGGTTTCACCATATTGGCCAGGCTGGTCTCAAACTCCTGGCCTTGTGATCTGCCCACCTCATCCTCCCAAAGTGCTGGGATTACAGACATGAGTCACCATGCCCAGCTGGTAAACATCTAATAATATTATTAAGCAAAGACTTCAATAAAACTGATTTGCTTAAAAGTCTAAGTTTATACTGGAATGAGGACAAATAATGATAGACTTCTCAGCATGGTAAGCACTTCACAAAGCTTAATAAAGTGACACTTTATAACATATATACCTTCACACCTCTGTGACGTGTTCCTAACATAAATTTAAATAAATGTTATCATTTACCTTATTTTTCTTTCAGCCCCAAATCAGCTAGTATAGAAGAAAAGCCTGCCCTGCAATTATTCCTCATATTCTACTTTTCCTTCTCCTCCTCATGGTATAAGGGTTTTGTAGGAAAGCCGTGCATTAACGCCGATATGTGTAATAAACACATCTTTCATGCTAAGCATTGTACTAGCAATGCGAAGAGGAAAACTCTAAAATCTCCATGTAAGTGTAGGGAAAATATGTACAAACATTTTTACACCATAATACATAAAGTGTAATCTCAAGACTGTTTATGGTTATGGTTTTTTTTATTATTTTATATCCCTGATAATCTGATTTAAATATATCCCTTATCTATAGCCATGCCACTCTGACCATGCCTGATCTCCTCTGAAACACACACCTGCTTTGCAATCAGGGTTACACATATAAAGACAGGAAATTTTTTATAAGAAATCTTGTAAACATAGTTATCCAGGGAAACAGAATAAAATCTTGATGTTTTCTTTTTCAGGTCATGCAAACAAACATTTTTAAACTTCGGTTTTCTTATCCATAAAAGAAGAGAAATAATACTTCAGTATACATTTTTTTAAACATTTAAATGAGATTAGCTATTAATAAAGATTAATTGCTATTATTATAAGATTATCAACTCAACATCAATATTGCTGGTATAAGAATATCAAATTTTCTTTTATGATTTAATGACATTGAAACTCATGTGTATGTTTGACTATTTAAAATTAAAGTTGAAGGAAAGTCACTGTCCTTACACGCTGAATTGTGTCTCCCCAGAGTTCGTATGCTGATATATTAAATGCCATTGCCACAAAATGTGACTGTATTTGAGGATAAAGCCTTTAGGTTGGTGATTAAGCTATAAAGACATCTTTAAGGTGGGTCCTCATCCATGACGATTTTTATTCTTATATGAAGAAATCGGGACACAGAAAGGCACAAAGGGATGACCTTTGAAGACAGAGGGAGAAGACAGGTGTCTACAAGCCAAAGAGAAAGACCTGAGGAGATACCAAACCTGCTATCACTTTGATCTCCGACTTCCAGCCTCCAGAACTGTGAGAAGATAACTCTTGTTGTTTAAGCCACCTAGTCTGTGGCACATTGTTATGGCAGCCCTAAGGAATGCATACAACTTCCAACAAACACACCTACACACGTGCTACCTGATTCTCTGATTCTACCTTTAAAATATATCTAGAATCATTCAAATTTTCCATCCCTACCGCCTTTGATTTCTGTGAACCACACCACTTACCTCTTACTACAAGAGTCTCCTCCTGACATTCATGTCTCCAATATACCCCTTCTGAGCCATTCTCAACACGGCATCATGAGTGATTTATTTTAACACAAATTTTGTCCTTGGCCTTGGCTGTTGAAAATCGTTTGATAGCTTCCAATTGCTCCTAGAATAAAGTTACACAAATTGCTCGGAAGGCTTTCAATTATCTAGTTTTTGCTAAACTCTTCATCTCATTCCTCAACCAACACATCTGTTGTATACTAGGCAGGCTCAGCTTAGTGTCTGGGTTCTCTTCTGCCTCTAGAATTTTTATTGATTATTTTGTGAGAGGATAGACCCCTTTCTTAAACTCTTAGCACAGTGAGTTCACATAGAATGAAAAAAAATTCTTCCATAATAAATAATTGCATAAATGTTCTTGACGCACACAAAATATTGTCATATTCTGGTACAATCACTATAAAATTTTCATTAGACAGGCTTCCATTTATCACTTCAGGACCAACAATGTTGAGAATTAAGCTGTCCCATGGGAATATATTTATTCATGTCTAATGCCTTCCTTAACAACCATTAGAAGGAGGGAAGGAAGACAGAAGAAAGGAAGAAAGGAGGGAGGAGCGAAGGAAGGGGAAAGAAGGAAGGAAGGGAAAGGAGGGAAGGAAGGGGAAAGTGGGAAAGAGGGGGAAGGAAGGGGAAAGAGGGAAAGAGGGGGAAGGAAGGGGAAGGAGGGAAGGACGGAAATTATCAGAAGCAAAATGAATATAACTTACACACTAAATATCCCCACATATAAAACCAAAGCTTTAGGAAAGCCTGAGAAAAAACAGTTATGTTTCAGATTGGAAACAAATATTAAATAAGAAGAAATGAGTTTTGATTCTTAAAATATCAAGAGGAAAATTTAGTTTGCACTGTTAATAGTTCAAAGATGTTTGGGATAATATATGAAGAAGAAACCAAAATATTTGGATATTTTGCTTATTAGTCAGGATATTATTATTGTAATAATATAATTCAGTCACCAATTTATCATTTAAAGAATTGCTGTGTAAACTAGAAAGAGAAACTGATTAATGATAGGAATAAAAATCTAGTTAATATCCATTTTTAAACAATGGGATAGATGTAACTACAAATTGGCATTTTTTTAAATCTAATAAGAAAAATGTTCTGATAAATTGCAATGATTTGGGATGTTTTATTTAGCATATGTTAGTTTTCCCTGGATTGGGCTTTCTAAACTATTGGTGTTAAGTCAAATACTGTGGAAGTCCTAGTCATTTTCATCACAAATTGAATTCAATTTCAAAAAATATTATGGGTAAAAACCAAAGAAGAATTTTAAATGGCACTTGGCAAGAGAAAAAAAATGAACTGACTCAGCAAAAGGACTTCCTTTGAAGGAAACTTTCCAAAGGACCTCTCAAAAAGAACTGCTATAACTATACTGTTTTCTTAGAAAAGATACGATATACACAAAAGAACAGCTATGTGAACACAAAAATTGATCACATATATAGAAATGAACTATTGAACCAGACTTGACAGATTGTAACTTGAACACAGTCAGGAACACACAGGGACCATCTTTTTTTAGCTTCCAGATTTTATCACTATCTTGATCTGTTAGTGATAATAAAATATTCATCGCTGAGCACAAATGAAGCTGCCTGCCTGCAACTTGACTGGAGGGTCCCTTGAAATAAATAACATAAAACTGGTTCTCAGCAAGCATCCCTTTTGAAAAATGCCTCTGTGTGTTAGCAAACCAAAGAACTGGATGCTATTATATTACTGTCCACTACAGCAATAGCAAACATGCTCTTCAATGACTCTCAGCAAAAGATGCAAAATGCCTCTAATTTACAGTATTTCAGAAGATGCCAATTCCAGCCAGCAAGAGAGGTTGAATATATTTCCATAAAAATAGTGAGACAGCATTTTCCTTTTTTCCTCTTATTGTCTCACAAGTGTGCTGTGAGTCTTCAGAGACTACGTAACATCTTATGTAGCCATCAAGCCAACGGCTCTTGAAAGGTGTGCATGTGAATTATTTGACTTTTATAATGATTAGTTTGTTGGACTCAATAATTTGTAAGATTGTGAAGGGATCCTGACATCCAAATGTTTGACAAACTCTAGGTTTGCTTTGTGATTATTTACGAATTTCAGAGAACAGAAACTTAACAAAGAAAACAGTCACAGCCACTCTTTCTCCCAAGTACTAGATTAAAATATCATCAAAACCAATATTCAGCCTATATCAATGAAACAAATAAATGTGGGCACAGTGAGAAACCAAGCAGCTGTGTATTTTTACAACATGATCACAGTTGGTTGGCTTTTCGGGCTCTAACTTCCTTTGCTACTTCCCTTAGTTGTCTGCTTATTTTGGGAGAATTTTCAAAATGTGGAACAGAGAATAAGCCATTCATAACAGATGCTGTAAATAGGTTATCCATTTCCTCCTACCTAATAGCATTAGCCTCATCTTGCCTGGAAACAGTTGCCTTTAATTAATTCTCCATGATGCCTCTTTTCTGGTAGCTATGAGAAATTGATAAAGAAACATGGTCTAATTTTAATCAAAATAGGACGTGTCAGTGGCACTCAGGCTAACCTTGCAGGCTAACTCAGACATGTTGAATAGAGAATGCAAACTTCTTATGCTAAATAGATTAATGAAGAACAGAAAACAAAAGTTATCGCTTGTGTTTAATAATGAAATTAAATATATTGTCAAAATAGAGAGTATTTTAAAAGGTAATTTTCACTACAGAATATAACATTGTTTTTCCTTTTAAAAATATTATGGTAGTGTTTAATATTCCATTTGTATTATGTTTTCTTTGATGGTTACAAGATTTGATGTTAATGGAACTGGTTGGTTTGTAAGATACAAAAAAGACAACTGTTAATTGATCACATTTTTATAAGCAGTTTCAATATAAATTCATACTGAAAGTAACTTCTTATATAGCTGTAAGACAAGAGATCACATCGATAAAGATACTGTATTTCACGATGTTGTATTTTATATAAAATTACACTTTCCTAAATTTCTCAAGGAAAATCTAAGCCTTATAATCCAAATTAATTTTCCCCTTACATTATGTCAGAAACTCAGTTAGTGTTATTTTACCTTTTGGATGCCTTACATTATTTTTTTTAATTAATTTATTTATTTACTTGAGATGAAGTCTCGCTCTGTCGCCCAGGTTGGAGTGCAGTGGCGCAATCTCGGCTCACTGCAACCTCCATCTCCTCGGTTCACGCCATTCTCCCGCCTCAGCCTCCAGAGTAGCTGCGACTAGAGGCGCCCGCCACCATGCCCGGCTAATTTTTTTTTTTTTTTTTTTTTTTTTTTTTTTTTTTTTTTTTTTGTATTTTTTAGTAGAGACGCGGTTTCACCGTGTTACCCAGGATGGTCTCAATCTCCTGACCTCATGATCCTCCCACCTGGGCCTCCCAAAGTGCTGGGATTACAGGCGCAGCCTTACATTTTTTTTTTTTTTTTTTTTCAGGTCTCTAACTGATGGGTTTTCCTTTTCTCCTGGCTATGCCATAAACTAAATGGCAAGATGCAGGTTTCAGAATCATACACTTCAGAGTTGAGATTTACACATTTGAGTTGTGGCAAAGCTGGGGCAAGGAGTCAGTGTTCTGATACCTGCTCTGGCACTTTGCCTCCTTACGTCCAGTTCTGAGCTCTCAGCCTCAAAAACACCTTCTATCAAAAAAACACAGAACGCAGGAGGAAATGCCTACAAGTGCCTTCATTCCATCCACTAAAAATGTACAAAATCTCAGGAGACATATTTTGAGGAAAGTGATGGCTATTTTATCTAAGAAAGAATCCCCTGGATCAGATCCTAGATTCTTAGAAATTCAAGAAAGCAAAACAAAAAAAATTAAACAAAGGAAAAAACATCTCTTAAGGTTGACTTTTCAAAGTATTATTTCTATTTTTCAAAGTTAAATTGTAATGAATTCAATATTTCTTCATTTTTTAAGTGCCAATTTAACTAGAGGAAAAATACTAAACCAACTAGTTATCTTTAATTATCAGAATACACTATGAACAGTGGCTTTCATTTAATGGTATTTTTTTGCCCCTGAGGCAAATTCTATAGAGAATAAAGTTAATATATTGTGAATTATTTAATAGGAAGGTTAATTTATATTTAATACAAATAATTTAATCCAGTCCTGCAAGCTTCTATTTATTTGGAATATTAACAAACATTGTCGAACACTCGCCATGCATCTTTCCTGAGCTGTGGGTTGACTGTACGGCCACATGCAGAAAGGACATATGCTGCATGTTTCAGCACCTGAGACAGACTTGGGGCCACCAAAAACAGAGCAACAATGTCTTTTACCGACCACAACACAGCTACACATGAAGACCCCTGTGATTCTAATCCTGGACCCATTTCCTACTGGTTTTATCACATGAAACCCTTTACTTAAACTGTTTCAGTTTCAGTATCTTCCTGGAAAATAAGAGTGTCCTAGTGGTGCTTTAAAGGCGAATTTAGCTTCATTATGCATCAGTGTAAAGTGTTGCATAATTGGCACCCTGTGTCTTACAGCTGTCGTTATACTTATACGAAAATTTATTACAAACGTAATGAAAATTTTTTGACCAGGTAGAGGGTATCACAGTGGTGTTTGAGCTGCTTTTAAGTGAACATTGCTGTGCTAAGCACTGGAGGTAAAGAACGAAGGAAGACTCTATGCCTGCCCTGGAGGCGTGGACAGTCCAGTGAGGAAGGTGGCGTGGATGAATGGTCTGCATTCAGTGTTGTGGATCTCAGGGGAGTGGCACTCATCCTGCACGACGATCTGCATATAGCTCCCTGAGCTGCCTATGGAACTGAGTGGGCATCAAGGGGACAAGGAGCAGAGGAAGGGCATTTGGAATAGTGGGACCAGCAGATGCAAGGGCAAAGGGATGCCAAACAGTGCCATTTGCAAATGTTAGAATGATGATTTTGGTGGGAAGCCCCGAGTGATGCTTGAGTAGATGAGTACAAAGAACCCAGCAGGGCACAATCACTTAGATGTTTGCACACTGAGCTCAGTGTTCTACAGGCTTACTGGACATTCCACAGAGGGCCTTGGAGCAGAAGAACAAAGTGATCAGATGGAAATTTTAGATCAGCATGTTCATCAGAAGCAAGGGTGGAAGGGAGGACACCTCATCTTCAGAGGATGGATAAAAGGAAGTGTGGATGGCAGCAAGGGCAGGTGAAACTATGTTTATGTGGGCAGGGGTTGCAGGTAGGAGGTAAATAGTTCTCCCTGACCTCAATTTGCCTGGAAGGATAGAAGACACATTTGATTATTAAAAATAAGACAATAGCCAGGTACAGTTACTCATGCCTATAGTCCTAACACTTTTGGAGGTGAAGGCGGGAGGATTCCTTGAGCCCAGGGGTTTGCGACCAGCCTGAGCAACATAGCAAAAACCCGTATCTAAAACCACAAAACAAATAAACAAAAATTCATCTGGATATGAAGGCTCAGCCTGTCATCTAGCACTTTGGGAAGCTAAGGCGGGTGGATCACTTGAGGTCAGGAGTTTGAGACCAGCCTGACAAACATGGTGAAATCCCATCTCTACTAAAACAATACAAAATTAGCTGGGAATGGTGGCACATGCCTGTAATCCCAGCTACTTCGGAGCCTGAAGCAGGAGAATTGCTTGAACCTGGGAAGTGGAGGTTGCCGTGAGCCAAGATCAAACATTTGCACTCCAGTATAAGCAACAAAATCCATCTCAAAAACAAACAAACAAACAAACAAAAATTAGCTGAGTGTGGTGGTGTGCACCTGTAGTCTCAGCTACTAGGGAGGCTAAGGTGGGAAGACTGCTTGAACCCAAGAGGTCAAGGCTGCAGTGAGCCATGATTGCGCCACTGCACTCCAGGCTGGGCAACAGAGCAAGACCCTGTCTCAATTAAAAATAATAATAATAGAGTAGAAAACCCATGGATGGTGTTCTGGACAATCTGTAAGTCTTCCCCACTCTAAGTATCTTCATCTCCTCCCCTCCAGCTTTGCTCTCCCCTAGGGTGGTTTTGATTTTCTAAGCGTGTAAATGGGCTCAGCACCCTCACTCCAGGTTTCAAATCAAATCTCTGCCCAAGAGGGCATTTGGGAGATTGCTGATCGCCAATGCACAGGCTCAGTAGGGCCGACTTACTGCTAACAAAAACTTCAACACCAACAACAAAAAGTCCTCGTATCTCAATAAATGGGAAGAAAACATAAAAGATTTAGGCAGACAGAAAGACAGGTAATATTCCTTACAAACATTGCCGTTTCATCTATTTAGTTCTAACAAATTATAAAATATCCCCCAAATCTACAAACTTCCCATTTTCAGATCTCATAGGTCTCACTTACCTATGTTTCCTCCAAGAGAGCTCCAATAAGTAACAGAACGTGTCTCTCACAGTTTCAAAAAATTATTCCCAGCCTTGTGATCTATCAGAAAGACTGGAAACCTTCACATTTACAAGATACTGAAGAATAAGCTTGATGCTGAAATTCCAGCGACCTTCAGGTAGTGAAAAATCCGTAATTCCCAAGATGGAAATTAAGGGGAAATGAAGCTACTACTGTTCAGAGAAGTATGCTCATGAAGCTTGTATGCTCCAAGAATACCAAGAAGCTAAAGAAAGATTTGGCTAAACAAAGGAAACACAGTGATACCTATCATTTAGATAGCATTTCACGGTTTAACACTGCTTTTGTATACAATATGCCATTTGGTCTTCACAATAATCCTGAGAGTTATTCGCTACATTTTCACACATGTACAAACAAAGGGGTTAAGAAGCTCTTACAAACCTGTACAGAACGAGTAACTGTACTAAGAAATGGAGTTGTAACGATTCCTCCACTATATTTTCACCCTAATTCACAAGTTTTTTAAATCTCCAGATCTCTAAACTTCTCCAGAAATTGCTTAAATTTTGGAGAGCAGGCAATTCTGATCTAATAATCTTGCAACTAAAAACGGATACAGTGATTCATCCCATGCCATCGACAATACACAGAAGTGAAACATATTGTGAACTCTATTTTACAATGACTAACTGAACATATAATTCATCATTTATCGTGACTAACAGTACCATTTAGATATTGAGAGTACCAATCCTACAAGGAGGAAAGAAAACATGAGAACTTCTTAGAGTGTGATATTTGCTATGCTATCCAAAATAACATCATGGTGTTAATTTGTTTATAAATTATGACATTAAATTTCTCTCAACTTATATATTCAATGATGTTCCAAAACTTCTATATTCAAAGATGTTTTAAATGTTTGAATATATAAGTTGAAAAAAAAATAACTCCATACTGGAACATTCCCTAATGTTTGAAGCAACATTTGTTAGCAGATATCCACATATGTAAAACATATGTTAAAAATGATACTGGTGAATACCATCATGACTCAAGATAATCACCAGATTAAAACATTTTTTATATTTAGCCAAATTATAGTGATACTTAATTTACTAATACAACAGGGTTTTCCTTCTACTCTTGGTATAAGGTAATGTTTCATGCTCCCAAAGATTTGCTATCTTTATCCACCTCATTAGCCTACTCTACGAGGTTATGATATTTGGCTGTAGGCAAATATTAGAGGCCTCAGGGAGAGGACAGTTTTCTTTGGGTCAATATTTCTGCCTGCTACCATAACAGAACTAGTTTCCCTCTACTCCTCTGAGAATAATCTACCTTGTTATTTGCTAAATTCACAAGCTCGTGAAAAAGGAGCTGTTCTAGATGAATTCTAAGTTTAGCAACATGTTCAGACACTAAAATGACCATTTTTATTATATGGTAGAAAAACACGTTTTTTTCAATTGCTAGCTTAGCAGCACTGGCTCTGTATTTAATTGCAAATGAGAGAGAAAACAGTAACTGATTCTGGCCGTGGCTTCTTTGCAGTTATTGGGTGGCTGAGGTTTAGGGCATTCCTAGAGGCCAGACCTGACACAACGTGAGATTACATTGAACTTGCCAATCACTTCATTAGTGCAAAACAGGCTTCAACAAAGTCTCGTATTTATTTTTAAAAGCCTAACAGAGGAAAATGATTTCTTAAATTGTTGTGCTGTTTCTAATATCATCATTTGATAATATGATTAGTAGCTGACAACACAATAGGAGAAATTATTTTTAGGTCATATGTTGAAGTATTTGCATCATAAACAGAAATACCCAGAAACTATCAGATGCTTAGTTTTCAAACTGATTGAAAAAAAAAAAATGCTCTCCATTTAGGAACTAGTGTCCAATTCCAACCCAATCACACAAACAAAATGAACACAATGAAGCAAGTTTAGTGACATGATATCTTCATCTATTAACTTGGGAAACTATGGAGGATTGGAATTAGCATTTCTAGAGAAACAAATGCACTAGCAAATGTGAGTGTTCAAAACAGGTAAGTGCTGAGAATGTTTCCCTGTCCACAGAACGGTGTGGTCTAAACCCTCTTATAGGGTTAGCACTATCTTTTTCCATTTGTCCTCAAAGAAATTTCTCCTTCAGGCCACAGCTTTGTAGTATTGCTTTTTATTTCCAGTTCTTCAAATCTGATTCATGGGCTGCTGAAATATAATGACGTCTTATCCCTTTTTTTTTTTTTTTTGCTACAGACTAAGTTAATTAGGTGGAACCCAGGCTGAAAGTTCGGATACCTTTGGTAAATTTGTTTTATTACAGGAGGTGTTTAATATATGGCTCATAGTTAAAGCTGGTTAAACTAAAGAAGAAGTTGATATTAAGTTTATATCAAATCTATATTGTATACTTGTAAGGCTTAGATATGACCCACAGTTGTCAACCCCTTTAACTAGTTGTGATGCCCATGGCACTCTGAGGGTACACCTGATACCGGAAGGAGAGCATTGACTGTGAGTTCTCCAGGTTCTTGGCATTTAGAATAATTGGATAAGATACACAAAGTAACAAAGGAAAGAAACATAGGAAGGAAGCTGTGAAAGGGGGGATTTATTAAAGCCAGAAAGCACTTCACAGGGTGGGAGGGGGCCCAAGCAAGCTGTTCCAGGGCCTAGTTACACAGTTTTCTGGGATTTAAGTACTTATTTTGAGGTCCCTCTCAGTTACCCCTTATCTGGATGAAGAATTTGGTCCCTGGCTAATTAAAGGCTGGGGTGAATTGGCCCGTGTTGCAGATGAAGGGATGGCCAGTGCTTGGCCCATAGCCAATCCAAGGCACTCTCCCTTTCCATCTGAGACACGGTGGAAGGAGGAGGGCTATAGAGAAAGCAGCCTTTGATCCTTTGTTGTTAGGAAATGGGGAGACGGAAGTTTTTCCTTTCCATTAACTTTAGAAAGTTTGAGTTAATTGGGCTTAGGTTCCCTGCCCCCAGACCCAGATGTTTCCCTTCTGATACAGCTTTGGGAAGACAGCACGAATTGGCCTTAGACCTCCTGCCCCTAGATCTTGGGCTTCTTCCTTGATTCAGCACAAACTGGCCGTAAGTTCCCTGCCTCAAGACCTTATTCTGCCTCACACTCACCCCACTTAAACAGGATACCCCACTTAAACATGTCCTGGCCATATTCATTCTACTTCTCTTCTTTCTTCTGTAATTTTCTGATAAGGGTGTGTTTTTAGAACTTAATTTATCTTTTCTGTTTTGCCAGGAAAAATCTGAAGTGAAGAATCACATTTCTCTAGTTTCAACTGCTCCATGAGCATATCCCATTCTGCAAATGGATATCCGCTTGAGGGCTCCAGTCTAAATGCTTCACCTCATTACCCCTTCCCTCCAGAATCTGGTTAGAGTCTCCTAATTGTTATCTGGATTGCTCAGCTACTGTTAAGTCATAAAAGAGGTGAAGACAAGCTTGTTCTTGTTTGTCTGGAGCTTCTTTTTATCAGGAGATAATCAGCAGGACCTCTATGTCCCGACTGTGCGGTTTTACATACTCGGCAAAGAGTGGAGATTTCCTCATTGACCTCTTCCAACTTTCTAGAGACTTCTCAGACATAGGAGAACAGGAATGATGGATTTACCAGGTTGTCAGTAAGAGTTGCATCACCAAAAAGCAACATTCGCAATCATTCACAATGCAGGGAACCAGGGGAATTGTGTCCCTGGGAGAAGCTGAAATAGAACTAAAAAATAGGCTTTCAGACTCTATCAGTGAGTGGAGTGAAGCAGAGACCCCAGAAATCATTTCTAACTTGAAAACAGAAGGGAGGATAGCATTTGTTTCATAAAACGTTCTCTACTTTATATAAATAATAATTATCTTCTACTTTTCCGCTTTTAAAATATTTTTAAATGTTTCTAAAATACAAAGATTTAAGGATGTTAAAAATGTAACTTGGTTAAGAATATAATTACATGGCGCAGATATAATAGTTTAGACACATGTAATAAAAGGCACGAACCCATTCATTCAATTACTAAAACACTAGTACGTGTTTATATTGAGTACAGATCCTCTTTTCCAAATAGGACATTCATGACCTGGACAGGTATAACTGGAACTTGTAGAGTTAGACTTCCAATGCTTTCTTGTTGAGAACTTTATGGTACTCACCATTTTTTGAGGAAAAAAATGATCCAATATGTCAGAAAGATCTGGAAAAATGTCCCAAACATTATATACTATAGTCTTCTTTGGGCAATTGTGACTTAATCTGGGAAAAGTGACTTAATCTACAGGTTACTATATATTTTTTGTATTGAAATATATACGGTAAACTAGACGGCATGTGAGCCCTGTCACCCTCAAACATTGTCATCTTGAATCCCATTCAGAATTTCTTTATTATTACATTGTTATTATTTTTTGTGGAGAGACGGTCTCACCATGTTGCATGGGCTAGTGTCAAAGTCCTCGGCTCAAGCGATCCTGCCCACTTGGCCTCTCAAAGTGCTGGGATTACAGCCTCACAACACCACACCTGGCCACATTCCGCATTTCTTAATGAAGAACATATATTTGACTTGTCCCAAGGAACCAAAGTCAACACTGATTCCCTGCAGGTTCTGCGTCAGCTCGCACCATGAAGAGTTTTTCTGTATGAGGAATGCAAGGGTTGGAATGGCTTCCAGGAAGCAGAGCCGTTCACACCAGCTTTGAATTTGTTGAGTTTTCAAAATCATGTCTTGCTCAATGCTCATCCCTTGGCACATGATTGGCCCCATTGTTTGTAAGACTGACCACGCTGTTTCTTGTTACCGCTGTCATTTGTAGACAGGGTGCAAATTTTGTACCCTGCACTAACTAGGTATTCAAAAAAAATCTGTTGGGGAGTGAACACTTAGCAACATTGCAGACACTTGAGGGAGGCAATTGCATGTATCTGCCTCCCACACACCAACATAATGGCAGTCGGTGAGGAATTCAGAGCCTACATATGATGGGTGACATATAATCCAGCCTCATACTCCGCTGGCCAAGTCGATTCTCAAAAAAAGGGTGATATCGTTTGGAAACATGAACTTGGAGAAAACCTCTCCCAGGACCCTCATCCACTCGAGGCAGTAATTCGCGTAGTGCAGTCGGCACAGTGCCATAGCCTCTGCTTGGTGTCTGACACATCCAAAGCAGGTGGATTCATTCTGATAAGCTTCAGCCCAACATCGACTTGCAGAGCTGGCAATTCGGGGTTGATAATGTGGCACAGCAGACTCCAAAGACGTGTACCCAGGATGTGTCTCAGCAGTAAGTGTAGAGTTAACAATGTTGAAAAGGCTGTTTACCCAGTTCCTCAGACGTTGTGATGTGCACAGTGTGTGTTCTCTGGTTAAAACACCACAACTCCAGGGAAGGAAGCTCCATTATTATCTGTCTAAATGTTTATATGGACACATTTTTTTTTTTTTTTTTTTTTTTTTTTTTTTTTTTGAGACAGAGTCTCGATCCGTCCCCCAGGCTGGAGCGCAGTGGTGTGATCTGGACTCACTGCAAGCTCCACCTCCCGAGTTCACGCCATTCTCCTGCCTCAGCCTCCAGAGGAGCTGGGACTACAGGCGCCCGGCACCAGACTCGACTAATTTTTTGTATTTTTAGTAGAGACGAGTTTCACCGTGTTAGGCAGGATAGTCTCGATCTCCTGACCTCGTGATCCGCCCGCCTCAGCCTCCCAAAGTGCCGGCGTGATTACATGTGTGAGCCACCGCACCGGCCAGACACACTGAACTTTAAGGAAGTCAACTCACCTCACCGGCATCAGGCATCTTCATCAGGTAAGAGCTCCGCCAGCACTTCCTGTCCATCCACTCAGAGGCCAGGAGAGTCAGAGATCGGGGGTTTTCTGGGCTTTTCCTTCACCCTCCTGCCCTAACTCCAGCTGTCCTCACTCCAATGACTGTTTAGAACCATCCCCTCCTGACCAATCTCTTCCTCAGTTACCCTCACATGATTCTTCTTCTACTCTCCCCCCCTGCCCCCACCACCAGGCAACACTCCCTCACACAACTACTGAAAAAGAAAGCACGCATGATTTGACTGCTGCCTACCTCGAATCCTTCAGCGGCTCCTCCTCACCTGCGTAATTCCATACAAAGTTCCCAGCGGGGAAGGGGAAGCCTTCTGTATGCTCACCTGTCTATTGCGCCCCACCCTTCTTCCCTCAGTCCTCAGTGGCTGTGCTCTCCTCCACACTGCCTTCCCCACATGCTGCCCTGTCTAGAATGGCTTTTCCACCTACCTTCTGGAAAGTCCCACGCCTCATTTCAATACCCTACATGATTGCCTTTGTGCTCCCACCACAATCTGTTCCTGTCTCCATTAGAGCCCTCCTCCTTAGGCATTTTAATTAGTCATGTATAAACCTGTTTCTGGATAATGATAATGACCCTAATAAATAATATCGGTTCCCTAATGCAGCTGGACATGTGGCATGTAGTGCATGAAGGTTACTCTGAGTGCTGGCTCATGGGAACCCCATTCTTTGAAATATCTGACATCACCATGGTCAGGTTTCAGATGCAGACACTGAAGCTCACCTAGGTTAACAACCCCCGGCAAGCCATGGACTTGCCATGTGAGATCAGAGCCTGACCCAATGTGCCGACTCC
The DNA here is from genome assembly GCF_000001405.40 of Homo sapiens. Taxonomy (NCBI): domain Eukaryota; kingdom Metazoa; phylum Chordata; class Mammalia; order Primates; family Hominidae; genus Homo; species Homo sapiens. The sequence goes on from NC_000008.11 coordinate 4,147,805, forward strand.
AAAGCCGGGCAGGAAGACACATCATCAGAAAGACTTCTCTGGTCTGGAAATGGTAGCTGAGCTTCATGGAATCAGGGGCTGCATGTGATTCTTCTCAAAGCCTCGGAGGCTCCTGCAGCACAAACTCTGGGGTGCACCAGGTAGAAACCCACAGAAGATGCACCAAAGCCCTGAGTAGAGGTTAGGTCTTAAAACCACGGGTTCCATGATTGTTTCCCATAGTCTGTTCTATGACCTTTACGGTAAAGAAATATACAAGCAGGAGGAAGACTTTTCTCTTGAAAAACATAACACAGATGGCATCTTTGATGCGCGTGACATGCTCTGGGTGAAGCTCAACTTAGAGTCAATAACAGCTCCTGCCTAAGTCAGCTGGGACCACTATAACTAACTGTAAGTTATAAGTTGCTATAGACTGGGCAACTTTAAAACAAAATGAAAAACTCAGCAAACTATCACAAGGACAAAAAACCAAACACCACATGTTCTCACTCATAGGTGGGAATTGAACAATGAGAACACATAGACAGAGGAAGGGAAACATCACACACCGGTGCCTGTTGTGGGGTGGGGGGAGGGCGGAGGAATAGCATTAGGAGATATACCTAATGTTAAATGATGAGTTAATTCCTGCAGCACACCAACATGGCACATGTATACATATGTAACGAACCTGCACATTGTGCACATGTACCCTAAAACTTAAAGTATAATTAAAAAAAAAAACGCATTGGCTACTTGGAGTTCTGGAGGCTGAGACATTCAAGCTCTAGGAGACCAGCTGTCTGGTCTGGTGAGAGCCTTGTGTGTAGACAGTAGCTGCTCCTGGAATCCTCACCTTGTGGATGGCAGAGAGAGGAGCGTGCCCTCGTGTCTCTTCTAGTAAGGGCACTCAGCCCACAGCGAGGGCTCCACTCTCATCACCTCCTTGCCTCCTAAAGGCTCCACATCCTAATGCCATCACCCTGAGTTTAGAATTTCAACAGGTGCATTGGGAAGGGATGTCATGATTCAGTCCCTCATGCTGCCTTTGGCTTGTGTCCTGGGAAAGATGGCACATGGTCGAGAGACACAGCCTGCATTCCATTCCCAACATAGTTCACCATCATCTGCACTTTTCAGACTACCTAACTTCACCTGTAATTAAACATTTCATATTAACTTTTTTTTTTTTTTGAGATGGAGTTTCACTCTTGTTGCCCAGGCTGGAGTGCAGTGGCACAATCTTTGCTCACTGCAACCTCCACCTCCCAGGTTCAAGCGATTCTCCTGCCTCAGCCTCCCAAGTAGCTGGGATTACAGGCGTGTACCACCACACCCAGCTAATTTTTCTATTTTTAGTAGAGACAGGGTTTTCCCATGTTGGCTAGGCTGGTCTCGAACTCCTGACCTCAGGTGATCCGTCCACCTCGGCCTCCCAAACTGCTGAGATAACAGGCATAAGCCACTATGCCCAGCCCGTAATTTTCATATTCCTAAAAAAAGTAAAGATAAGCTTTCACATATTCACTGAGAATTTTTAAAACATCACTCCAGTTTGCATTTCTAAAAAGATACACTTTGGTATAATAAAACCAATATATCTTAGGTGGTAACTGCCATAGCTCTGAGCAATATTTGAACGGTATTTCTACATAAGGGCCAATAAAAGGAAATCTTCCAATATATTTGAAGGATTACTCTATCTGGAATCTTGACTGTAAATACTCAGGGAACTACCATTTCAATACTAACCAAAAATATTTAATTCTAAGTACAGATCAAAATCCGAACCAGATTTATGCTAAAAGGGAAATAAACAACTGGTCCTTCTGTCTGTAGAATCATCCTAGCTCAACACCTACAGAATGGAGGATGCTAAGTGCTACACTGAAGGAATAAACAATGCTGAGTGATGCTGAGCTCCAACAGAAACATTTTCCAAATAACCTCAACTCCAAGCATCCAGCCAGGCCTTGCTGGATGTGTCGTAGTTGCTTCAGGGAAGGTCACTTGAGAATTTCCTATTAAAATACCACTTTAATTGGTTCATTCTCTTTATAAATTAAATGCATAATGATTATTTGTAAGCTGACCCAGGTCCACTCTAATGTTCAGTAATCTACCTCTTGGTGTTTTGTTAAATTGTGAACAACAGGAAATTCTGTGATGTGGTACACAAAGTTCAGCACTGTCACAGAGAAGTCAGAGAGACTGATGGATGCCTTTAAAATATCCTCAACGCTGCACGTAAAAGGCACGTGTTGCTGTGGGTGAAGAAGTTAATGTAAGTAAAATGAACTCGTTTGTTTTTTAAGGGAGTGTATTTTCCACATTGTGTATTTTAAGGAATAAACTGTGATATCTTGAGGATAGACAAAATCCAGGTATGTCCTGAGGCATCTGTCTTGTAGTCACAGGATCGGCCCCAGGAAAACAGGGCCATTTTTCCATCATGCACCTCCCTCCAGCCTGCATTCCCTTTCCCCAGATGTAGAAGTCTCCAAGCTTCCTCAGCTCCCTGTTAGGAAGGACATCTCTAAATTCTCTAACCCGTGCCATTCTAACTCAGTGTCTGCAGCTGTCTTTTGTGCCTGGCTACCTTTGGAAGTAATGTGGACTCTCTTATCTTTGGATGGCAGGCTTTTGACAACTTCAGTGCCTTTTACCGGGGCTTAGAACTTCAGCTAACAGAATTTTTCACAACAGAGATATCTTCTAGAAGGCAGAATTTCTCTTTCTGTTCTTCCAAGTGTAATGAATTAACATGACCCTGCTGAAGGATTCATAACTCAGGTACAGGTAAAACAAGCAAACAAACCAAACAACAAGCATTAACTGCAATTCCAATATTCTTCCAGTTTTCCAAATGGTTAGGGTGCAGATAAGGAGTGTTTAGCATTTGGTTTAGAACCTTAGGGTGTGGAAAGCAGATTCAGAATGCAGATTAAAAAGGAATTTCAAAAACCAACCTGCTTTATCTAAAAAGATCATTTAAATGTGTAGTTTGCGCACTTGCAGAGGTGTTGGGAGAAGACAGGGAGGGACAGAATAACCTTAACAATATGGATTATAAATATAAAAAAATGTCCTGCTGAGAAACGCCTGAGAAAGAGCAATGTTTTGTTCCCTCTCCTGTGCTTTAATTACAGTCTGCAACGTCCAAACTTTCAGTAAAAGTCTTCCAGATACAGGACTAGACATTATTTTGGAGAAATGATGCAAGAGAAATTGTGTCCCATATGCAGACGTAATAAAACGGTTGAGGAGCCTACAGCTAAGTTTACGGGTGGTGCCAGGGTGCAACTTGCATCCTTCTCCCAGCAGAAGATATTAGGATCCCTGTTCACCAAATACATTAGAAGAGCCAATCTTTGAAAGCAAAGGAATTCAGGCAAAATCCTTTCTGTTACCATAACCTCTTCTTGTAATATCAAGTATAAATACGGTGAAGTTTACTTGGAAAGCTAAAATATTCAGACTACTTTAGACCATGCATGTGTAAATCATTTGCCTTGTTATAGATCCTAAGATCAATGCTTCAAGAGATAAATCACTTATTTACAGTGAGACATTAACTACAATTCAGTTTCTAGATCCTGCTGACCAAGAAAAATACTCTTTAAAAATATAAATAAATTCTGAGACATTTGTAATTGCAATAAGATATTGAATCACCCATATCTAGTTTAACAAACACATTATACAGAAGTGAACCAAATGGAAGATTTTGGTAGTGAAACTTTATCATAGACTTATACCATAACATTAAATTAACATGGGGAATTAAAATGTTATCCTTGTCAGATATGTTTCTCATGGATTGTGACATGTAGTTTCACTTTGTTATCAAGAATCTGTGGCATCATTATTATTATGTCAACATTATAGGTGAAAAAAATCCAACTGATTTCCTCAAGCTCACACAGATAAATTAACAGCGGGTAAATACTAGAGGAAGACTGTAGCTTTTTCCTAGTGCCACATTTCTTCTGCAAATGCTTATTTTATATGAAAAATAATTGTTCGAAGTTTTTTTATATATATAGCATGAATCAATTATATTTCCATGTACCTTTTCTATTGCAGGCACACATTAAATATTAGAGGGCAGAGAAGTCCATTTGTCTATCAGCAGAGATAAGTTTTGCCTGCATAAAATCAATGGGAGGTGTAAGCAGTTACAATCCTTCCTGCTTGTGGTTTGCTAGGGGGTCATTTTAACGTAATCAATGTGTTTAGCTCGATACCTTCATTTGACTATGCTTTAATTTTTTTCCCTTTATTAAGAACTTTCCCAAAGTCCAGATTTATATGGGTAATATACAGGAAATTGTATAGAAAAATATCAACGATAATTGTTTGAAATTGGATAATTTATAAAACTGTAGCTAACATAGTTCTTACATCTTTGGAGAAGAAGGAACACCATACACTTTCAACATTATTCCCACTTTCTCAAGAGAATGCTCTATGATGGTAATATAGAAATACGATGGTTAAAAATCTACTTCCAGTTATAAATCAGCTTTTTGAATTGAATATTTACAGAAATCAGGTAGACACGTAAGCAGGAATGCTTATGTACTAATGTTTTTAAAATCCCTTACTTAGGCCAGGCACAGTGGCTCACACCTGTAATCCCAGCAATTTGGCCAAGGCAAGTGGCTTGCTTGAGCCCAGCAGTTTGGGCCAAGGAGTATGGAAAACACTGCAAAGCCCTGTCTCTACAGAGAGTACCAAAAAAAAAAAAAAAATTAGCTAGTCATGGTGGTGCACACTTGTGTTCCCAACTCCTTGGGAGGCTTAAGTGGGAAGATCGTTTGAGCCTAGGAGGTCAAGGCTGCAATGAGTCACGATTGTGCCAGCGCACCGCAACCCAAGCAACAGAGCGAGACCTTGTCTCAAAAAAGAAAAAAAAAATCCTTTACATATACACACACACAATAGATATATACGTCCATAGTAATATATACATATAATCAAATATATATGCATGCATTTTTATGGGAATATACACACATACACGTATAGTGAGAGAGTAGGGAATGTATGTATGTGCATGTGTATTTATGGAGAAATGAGAAATTAACATCAAATTAGACTTAAGATTTTTCTCAAAAACTTTATGAAAGGTGTATACTCTATCCTCTTCTCAAAATCTTAGAAATGGTATTTGCCTTCATTTTTCTGCTATGACAAGGTGAACAAATCTCGTAGCAAGTGCATACCATTTATTACAATTGTAAAATGACTTGTAACGTGTTATTAACAGTTTTTGAAGGGGGTATGATTCTTTTTCAGATGTGTAATTAATGTAGCCGTAAAGGAAAATGGCAATGTTGTATTGAATACTGAATCTTGACTGTGGTGACCATGCCAGGAATAAGATAAGCAGAGCCCAGTTCCTGCTTTGCCGCTAACTCAGCAACTCACCCAAGGGGAGCTGGAGAGTATGCCAGAAATGATACATACGGCTATAAAGACAGAGTGTCCAAGTTTGACTCAGTTCATCTCCGGGCTCTTCTCACTTCCGACATTGCCCCGTTTTGTGAACTTGACTGTGTCTCTTTCTACATTCTGGAAGCAACAGTGTAATACTCTGCAGTTCTAGGTTCCCTAGCCTCATTCATGCTGTTGCCTGTGCCCCGCACTTAGCAGATGAGCCAGTGGATAAGGTTCTGCAGCTCTGCTTCCCAGTCTTTCTGACATTTCTGCTCACAATTGTTGAATTACAAAGCACCAGCTGGTCCCTCGTCAGCAGCGGCCTCCACGCAATCATGGGAAATGCTGCATTCCGTCACAGGGTGCCCTGAGATGTCCCTGCTCTGTTTCCTCTCTTCACCTTGCAAGGCAGCTGACATCCTTTATTTTCTCATAACGTCACTGCCTGGAATTTCCGCTTCCATCAATCCGGCAGTCCCACAGATATAAGAACCCATGCAGTGGGCACGGTTTCAGTGTGGTGACCCTGTGCTCTAAAACCCTTTGTCAGGGGAAACACAGTTTTTATGTATTTGTGTCTGAAACAAAAAATGACGGAACGTCACATGCAAGTGGTGACCGTAGCTATGTGGCTTTCCTGACTCATGGCAGCAAACTAACATCTCAGATTCCATCATCTAACCCAGCCAACGAGGCACTGTGGATCCTGCTTTCAAGTGTTTTCTGCATTACTGACAGCAAATTACTGAGAAGGCAGAATCCAATGATAGCTTTCCATCCTCATTTTGCACCGTATTTTCAGCTTGCTGCCACATTTGTTTTCCTAAGGAGGTAATAAATAAATTGGAAGAAACACTGAAAATACAGCAAAGAGTCAGGAGTCTGGCTTCACAATCTGCGACAGCTGAGGGTGAGATATACAATTTTACACCTATGATAGGAGATCTATAACCTTAGATGCCACATCTATTCAGGAAGAATAATATCAAGGTTAGTGTAAGCATACAATGAAATAAAGTTTCTGGCAAACAGTAATGCTAAAAAATAAATAAATAAATAAGATGTTTCTGTTCTCAGCTTCCTATTTAAGTTGAAAGGATGTAGTCCAGGAGTATTCAGTCAAGCAAATGTCCATGTTTTGTGACATATATCTCTAATCTATTGTATAAGTATAGACAAAGGCATTTAGCAGATGCCACTTTATTGCCTCAAAGAGCTGAAAATCAATGGGTATCTGTGGAAGGAGAATGGTTTACCCCAAGTTCAAAACTGTGTGCAGACAAGAGCCACTGTGGAGAAAGAGCAGAAGCCAGGACACTATGCTTCTAACGCCGTGAGCTGGGCCAAGAGGTGAGGTCTTTGGCAATAGGAATGCATGAGCCTACAAAAGGCCTAAGTAAAAAGTTTTAAAAAAGGAATTGTATTCTAGTCCCTTAGTTGATAACCTGAGAATTCTCATTAAAAACGTACAAGGAAAAAGAGATCATGTTTGTAGACCTACCTTATGCAAGTAAGGCTAATATCCCCGTAAGATATGAATATCACTGATCACAGAGAAAATAAGAGAAAGACTGAATGTTGGAAAGAGAGGCACGATTATAAATTAGTGAAAGCTTTCTGATTTGTTGATACCAAGTCAGCTGCATCACAGTCCACAAATATTTGTTGAAGTGATACATTTTTCTAAATTCCAAGTCTATTGACAATAATACAAAATGTTATATTGAAAATTAAGTGGGCTACCCTAATGCTACTCCAGAAACACGACTGCAAGTTTCTGCAGTGATAAACCTCATCACAGAACCTAACACTGCTGCAGAATTTGTCCTGTTCCAGGCCCGATTTGTGCTTTGAACTCATGCAATGCCTACAGTGGCCACATGACGCGCATGCACTATTGTTCCCATGCTACAGATGAGATAAAAGAGGCACTGACTGTTTACATAATTTGCCCAGGATTGTCCTTTTGCAGTTTGTAACAGAGCCAGATGACTGGGTCACGCAAATGTTGAAAAGGGGCAGCAGAGAGGTGAATAAGTCCGGGTGTGAATTAGGGGGTGGAGCAGCAAGATCAGCGTTTGGGTCTCGCATTAGAGTCTCACCTGCATGACTCCCGCAGGGTAAACAGCCACGCTGCTTCTAATGCTCTGCTGTAGATCACATTCCTTTTACTTTATAAATCAGAACTTGCCTCTGTTTGGCAGGAACCTTGTTTGGGAAATGAAAATATGGTAAGTATGTGTTTCCTTCTAGTTAAACAAGGGAAAGTATCGTTCTTAAACGCCAAACTTAAATGGTTAAAAAAGTTAAGTCTTAGGCCATGTCTTAGAACGAACGTTCTTATCTTTAAATTGTGAGTCATTTTTTCAGATAGAGACAAGGTTTGATTTTTTATCACTCTTGGTTAGCTGATGACATAATACACATTCAAAGAAACGTGACAGATTTTAAGCAAATTTCTAATCAACAGTGTTCTACTTCGTCAAATCACAACAGAAACATTCCTCCGTGTCAGCTTTTGTCATTGATCCCCGGATCTTTCCAGTAATTTGTGTATTAAGAGCCACAAAGGGGAATACACAAAGCTGCAAAGTCAATTAAATCCTCTTAAATAAGGCAAAATGAAACAACAAAAAAGTGCCATCCTATAGCCCTCTCTGTTCCCAGTAAGTGCGGGAATGAGCTTTTGAGGAATGCACAGCCCAGGTGTTCTGCAGCTGCACATTTTAATCATCAAGTCACCAAAGTCTGCTGATAAACATCAAAAAAGCCTAATGGAGTCACAGACCCAGTGGCCTGGTTCCTCAGATGAGCTCCATAGATTCCTACAGAAATGGAATTGGAATAGGGCTGGCTGGAGTTATCAGAGCATAATAATCATCCGATCCTGACATTAAGAGTCCCTCTGCCTCACACCACCCAGAGGCAATTCGTTGTGTGAGGGGTGTGGGAACAAGGTTTCATATCTGGACTGGGATCACTGTGATATCCTTGGGGTGGTAGCAAAATCTTTCTTTTTACTAACTTTTTAATTATGGCTAAAGAGTTGATGGGGTTGAAAATGCTTTCTCCTTTTCAATGAAGGCTCTGAACGGCCGTGCAAAGTTTATGTTCTCTCTGGTTTTGATAAAACTTAAATGAATGCAGAAGCCAATGGCAAGTCCATAAAATTTCTCAATGAGTCTCTGTACTGACTTGAGAAAGAAAGGATAAATATGCTATTGGTGCTAACTCTTTTATTGAGCATTTTTATGTCCAATTCTTTATCTTCCTTATGTGTAATAAAGTAAGTTCCTCTTATTTGACTTACTAAATTCAAATTCTAAAAGATCACTTCTATCCACATACCCAAAAGCATTCAGTTAGTGACAATATTAAAAACAATGGGAAACAGTAGTTTTTGCTATTTGGTGATACCAGGTACCCATCTGCTTGTGATTTAAGATAATTTTCTGTACTGTCAGGGGCCCAAGAAGAGACTATGTGCAGTTTGCAGTGGGGCCAGTGACAGCTTCAACCTTTGAACAGGAAATCCAGACAGTACAGACTTTTGGGAAGGGCCCAAATTACAGATCCCAGCAGCGAGCAGCAAGTACTATGAACACAATCACAGGGAGGCTTTTTAATTTATCTGAGCTTAAGTCTCCTCATACATAAAATGGAGTGCATTTTTCTTACCTCTCCGGACATTTGTGAGGGTTACGAAACTTTATCTATCCAACCAACTTTGCAACTGCTTGGCAGATGATGCATACATCCCAGATGATATTAAGTAGGGGTGGTGGCCAGGCATTGAGGGGCATGTTATGCACACAAGGAGCCTGTAGACCAGAACAGGGATGGACCCGCCATGGCCAGGGTGACAAATCTCACTGCCTATCTTGTGGAAACCCTAAGAGTGTATTTTATATTTTTAAGTGGTAGAAGAAACATCAGAAGAAGATTTTGGGACAAGTGACGATGTATGAAATTTACATTTCAGTGTCCACAGAAGGAGTTTATAAGAACACAACAGGGCCCGTTTGTCTACATCCTGTCTGTGACTAGTTTAGTGATGCAATTGCAGAGCTGGGTCACTGCACCAGCAACTCAGGGTGGGCAGAGCCCAAGATATTTACCATCATTTTCTTTGAAGAAAATGTTTATTCACGCCAGCTCAAAGGTTGAATTGAAAATTTTCTATTTTCGTCCTTTTTCTTTCTCTATTTTCCCCTACCTCCTTCCCTCCCTCCTTCACTTCCTTCCTTCCTTCCTTCTGACTAGCGGAGAAAGAGGCTCAAAGAACTGGTTAAAGCAGCTCTAGCTACCTCTAGTCAATGACTGTGTTGTCATTCCCCCGTATTGCTAAGACCCTCTGCCGGTCATGTAACAAATGCAAATCTTTCACGCAGAGTTGATTTTCAGAACAGCTCAGACCTCTGTTATCTGGGCATGGGGTGAGGGCATCCCCTCACGCCCAACCGGCCTTGGGTGGGTCTGCACAGTTGTCCCTCTGGCCGTCCTTTTCCTAGGAGTCAGGGCCAGGGCTGACCTGCCTGGTCCAGCGTTCACAGCTGGGTGAACTTGCCCAGGGCCTTGGTCCAGCTTTAGTCAGTCTCCTATCCTCCCCACAGGAAAACAGGATGCTGAAGTTGGGCTTGGTCCTATCCTCCCCACAGGACAACAGGATGCTGAACTTGGGCTTGTCCCTGAGGTTAAGCAAGCTGTAAGGTTCAGAACATCTTTTAGCAACGTATGCCGAGATTGGCCAACTGTTGCTAGGACCCTTTCCTGCTCAACTGCCCCCATACACGGAACCAATGCCTGCTCAAAGCTCCTGCTACCCCTACCCCTGCTTCCCCATTACAATACAAGAAAACCCTTTTTTTTTTTTTTCTGTTTGAGCTTAAGATCCCTGCAGTCCCTGAGGTCAGACCATTCTCCCTACGGCCTTCATCATTTTTAGTGAAGTCTCTCCTTTCCTAAGCCCAGACATACTTATTTTGGCACCATTGATGCTAGGACGGAGGATCATGCCCCCATGCCAGCTCTGCAGACATCGGGAAGACTAAACAACAGAAGTACATGTCAAGCCCTTGGAGGAAGGATGCAATCATCTCTACTGCAAAAATACATTGCAAAGAAAACCCGAAAGAAATAGTAATATGAATACAGCCACTAGTGCGGTCATCACTATTGCAAAAGGATATTGCAAACAAACAAACAAAAAAAAATCAAAGAAACAGTAATACTAATACAGCCGCTAGTGCAGTCATCAGTATGGCAAAAGGATATTGGAAAAACTCCCAAAGAAACAGTAATATTAACACAGCCGCTAGGTTGTGTCCTAGGTTCACTATGACAGAACAGTCCTCGTTCCCCTCCTTCTTATTTTTCTGGCCCAGAAATGATAATTTTCACAGTGGCGTTGCTGGTGGTAGTGGAAGATCAACGCCGTAATAATGAGTATTATGGGCCAGCAGCTATTCCTAAACCACCCCATTCAGTCCTTATCACAACCCCATGAGAACCACCATCATCGTCACTTGATGGGTGTGAACACTGAAGTGTTGGGATTTTAGAACTTTCCCAAGTTTATCATATGGGATGATGTAGAATCCAATAATAGGAAGTCAGTTTTCAGAATCTGAAATCTCAAGTCCTCAGTTTACTACTGTTTCCAGCTGAAAAGAAAGATTATCTTTCTATAATTATTATTTGTTTTTTGAGACAGTTTCACTCTTGTTGCCCAGGTTGGAGTGCAGTGGCACAATCTCAGCTCACCACAACCTTCACCTCCCAGATTCAAGCGATTCTCCTGCCTCAGCCTCCATAGTAACTGGGATTACAGGCTTGCACCACCAGGCCCAGCTAATTTTTGTATTTTTAGTAGAGACGAGGCTTCTCCATAGTTGGCAGGCTGGTCTTGAACTCCCAACTTCAGGTAATCCACCTGTCTCGGCCTCCCAAAGTGCTGGGATTACAGGCATGAGCCACCGTGCCCAGCCCGTAATTCTTTATTGATAGATAACCGTGAAATGTTTTACTCATTGGGGTAGCATTTAGTGTAAGTTTAATTTATACCTCAAGTATTTTAAAAGCTAAATTAATGTCCATTATTAGTACTCAAATGGAGGAAATATTTTTATTTGTGATTCAGTAATCCCACTATGTGATATCTACCGAGGGGAAAAGAAGTCATTATATGAAAAAGGTATTTGCACATGAATGTTTATGGCAGCACAATTCACTACTGTAAAAATGTATCCATCAATCAACGAGTGGATAAAGAAACTGTGGTATATATATGATGGAATACCACTCAGCCATAAAAAGCAATGAATTAATGGTATTCACAGCAACCTGGATGGGATTGCAGACCATTATTATTATTATTGTGAGACAGAGTCTCACTCTGTCGCCCAGGCTGGAGCACAGTGGCGCGATCTCGGCTCACTGCAAGCTCCCCCTCCCGGGTTCACGCCATTCTCCTGCCTCAGCCTCCCGAGCAGCTGGGACTACAGGTGCCCGCCACCACGCCCGGCTAATTTTTTATATTTTTAGTAGAGATGGGGTTTCACCGTGTTAGCCAGGATAGGGAGACCATTATTCTAAGTGAAGTAACTCTGGAATGGAAAACTAAAGACCGTATGTTCTCACCCATAAGTGCGAGCTAGCCTATGAGGATGCAAAGGCTTAAGAATGATATAAAAAACTTTCGGGCCTTGAGGGGAAAGGGTGGGAGGGGGTGAGGGATAAAAGACTACCAATTGGGTTCAATGTATAATGCTCTGGTGATGGGTGCACCAAAATTTCAGAAATCACCAAAGAACTTTCATGTAACCAAATACCACCTGTTCTCCAAAAGTATGGAATTTAAAAAAAAAAAGAAAAAGCACTGAGGACATTAAAAAATAACGTCTTAATTCCAAGTATTAACTTTGAAAATTATGATTTACTGACTAAGACTTAAGGGGAAGTATTTGTCTTTTATATAGCAAAAATCTGGCTAATTGTTCTTTCTAAAGTCTAACTTTATCATAAAGTAACACAAAACATTCTGATTCTTGGAAAGTACTGAATTTAGGAAACTCTCCAGCAACAAGCATAAAAATAAAATAATGATTGAAAACCATTTTTTGTAAAGTAATGAAGCCAACTTTGGAAATTTGGTGTTATGTTGACATATATATACGCAACTTTAAATTCAATGAAATAGTCCAGAATAAAGAATATATTTCAATAAAGTAAGTGTTGGTCATGTGTCTTCATGAGGTCCGAACATCGGTTGAAAGTCAGACAATCATTATGCTTAAGCAAGGAAAAGGAGATTTTCAGGTGATTTAAATATCCACGTTTCTCATCTTGCATGAGGCTGAAGCCTCCATTTACACACTGTGGATGTCCCCACTTTCTTGCAGACACTCTGGAAGTCTTTGTACTTGTGTGTGCACAGACACATGTCCACGCAATGTCCCACACTCCATGTCTTCACTCTTGCCTTGTGGCAAGTTGCAATTATTTTCTATAAGGTGATACTACATTTACTCAGTCACACTTGGATGAAAGCATCATTTTACCCGTGAAGGTGGTGTACTGTAAATATCAGAAAAGAAGAAGAAAAGGAACTTGAAGTTTCTAATATTTCCTTAAGGAGAAATTCTAAAAAGGACATACTGCTGTTGTTCTCTGCTGAACAAGTGGTTTAATATTACTTGAGGCCACTGCATACCTCATCAGATGTATTTATCAGTTGATATAAAAATTGTTAATTATTCTTTGGTGATCACTTTGTCCTTCTTCTTCTGGTTTGCATTAAATCACGGCACTTCTTAAAAACTGAGCAGTCCCAGATTTGCAGGAAATGTAAATAATGTAAGAGATACATTTCCAGGAAATATAAACAAATAATGTAAAAAAAAAAAAGTCATGTCTTAAGACATGATAAAAGTTCAGAAGGATGAAGTACTTGCAATGTGCTACTTCCTATCTCATTTAATTCCATGAACAACCCTCTAAAGCAAGCACTCTTACCATCTGCATTTACATGTGAGCCTTAGAAACATTACATAACTCACCAGCTACACATAATTGATAAGAAACAGTAAGTGACAGAATTAGGGCTAAAATCCCGGTCTCTTTGACTGTAAAAATGCAGGCTTTCAGCCACAGAATTAAAGGAATCTTAGAGGTAAACTTGTCATTCCTCCTTAATTTTTTAGAAGAGAAAATTGAAACTGGAATAAGTTGAATGGCTTACTCAAGGTCATGCTGCTGTTGAGATAAAAGAAAAAGGACTGAACCCAAGCTGAACACGCAAAGTCCACTGTGCACCTCCTACTACTTGACATTGTTTTGGACAGAGTTCATCAAGCGGTACATTTTGATCTATACCTGTTAAAAATCTAAATTTAAAATGTCAAAAGTTTAATGTGTTCTTCCAACGTCAACAACAGCCATAAAAATTATTACAATTTAGCAGAAAAATCTGCCACGAATCATAAGAAAACCATTGCTGCCATCATTTTTTACTGATTCTGGAACCAGTTTCAAGGAATCAGATATTTTGAATTGTGCAAAAGAAACAAAATTTGTTCATTTTTTCATAATCTGCTATATGATATGTCACTGCATTTTTTTCTTTGCCATAGAATTTAATTCTTTTAGATTTTATAATGGTTCAGTAAGTCAAGACTTCATCAGTTCATATCCCTTTCGTTTAAATATTCAGTAAGTATAGTACACAACATACCTTTAAAATTAATTTCTTTATGGTGGCATTGTGCCTTTGACTAACCATTCTGTATTTGCCTTCGACTTTGCTAAACTAAGCAATTTCCCTTAATGTCAACCTTGATAAGCAAGTAAGCATTAAGGCAACATTTAAACACTGAAGCAATATATGGTTACATGATTCTAAATAAACTAAACCAGTGCGACATCGTAATTAGTTTCCCTGCCTGCTTTGCGCAACTTTTCTTTCCAAAATTATATGCATGTCTTTTAATTGTTATGTTACCAGTATTCATCTAAGAAACATTCTGCAATAAAATGTAGCAGATTTTCCAATAATAAAGTTTGCTAAAGAAAACTCAGCAAAGTTTAATGGATTTATGTTACTACAAAAGAAAAGTGCTTGTTTTTAGGTAATTTTGATGTTCAAATGTTTTTTGGTTTTATCTTGACAGTAAATCTTTGAGGATATAGTGTAACTGATAAAATAATAAACAGAATAGAGGTGAATTCAAGACTTACACAAAATTTAAGCCAGTTTGATGAACAGTTTTGATCCTCATAAATCTAACTTGCCAGAATATTAAATTTTGATATTTTTAATTTATTTTACCTAAGTTACTTTGATTTTTTAAATATAGATTTTATATTTTAAGAGCAGTTTTTCTAGGTTCACAAAAAACATTGAGTAGAAGGTACACTGATATGTCATGTAACACCTGCTCCCATACACAGAGCCTCCCCAACTATCAACATCCCACGCCAGAGTGGTGCATTTGTTCCAATCGATGAACTTACATTGGTAAGTCATTATCATCCAAACCCCCAGTTTACAATAGGGTTCACTCTTGGTATTGTACATGCTATGGGTGTGGATAAATATATAATGCTATGTGTTCACCATTGCAGTATCACACTGAGTAGTTTCCCCGCCCTAAAAATTTCCCTGTTGATTTCCCCTTCCTCCAACCCTTTGCAACCACTGGTCTTTTTACTGTCTCTACAGTTCTGCCTTTTCCAAAATGCCCTAGAGTAGGAATCACAAAGTGGGTAACCTTTTCAGACTGACTTCTTTCACTTAGTAACGTGCACTTCAGTTCACTCTATGTCTTTGCATGGCTTTCGGTTAATTTTGTTTTAGCAATGAATAATATTCCATTGTCTGATACACCACAAGTTTATCATTTCACCTACCGAAGTACACTTTGGTTGCTTCCAGATTTTGGCAACCAAGAATAAACCTTCTAAAAACATCCCTTGGCAGGTTTTTCAGTACACGTAAGTTTTTAGCTCCTTCAGATAAATAACAAGGAGTGTGCTTCCTGGACTGCATGTTGAGAGTATGTTTAGTTTTCTAAGAAACCACCCAATTGTCTTCCAAAGTGGCTGTTCCATTTCGCATTCCCATCAGCCATAACTCAGAGTTATTTTACTCCATATCCAAGACAGCAATCTACATTGTTGGTGTTATGGATTTTGGCCAATTTCTTTTTTCTTGTTTTTACGTTTGTATTTTAATGTGTGAGTTACTTTTATTTAGATTTTATCCTTCAACTCACAGTACAGACATTGTTTTGTGAAATATTTAATATTAGGTAAAGCTACAGCATCATTTGGTGTGAATTAAATCTAGCTAGATAAAACTTCCTGTTTTAAAGTGAGTGTTTTTTCAAAACTCTGTTGACTATCTACATATGGTAAGTGGAGTAAAATTCAAGGAAATAATTTTAAAACAAGAAGTAACATATAAATAATAAAATTTTTTTATGGTGGATGTGATGATCTTGATTAATCAGTAGCACTAATACTGCTAAGCTTACAATTTTGGAAATGTAATGACTTATTCAACAGTGTCATTACATTTTAATTTTCTACACCTATACCCCTTCATCATTAATTCAAAAATTACTACTCTAAATACCATGCCATGAAAAGAGAAACACTGGGTTTGAATCAAGGTTTGGTTACTCGTTAGGTGACTTTCCATCTGTTATATAAGTTTTCCAGGCTTCTCAAATTAATTTTAGGGTGGTGATGTGGGATTGAGGAATAATCGTGAGGAGAAATTAAATAAGCAGAGTAAGCTGTTGGTACATGTGTCATTCCCTTCTCTTCTTTATAAACATTACATTAAGAAAACTCCAATACTTATCATGTTTTTAAAGAATACTTTTAAATTTTATTATACCTGATAGTGTTCTCTTAAAATGTAATCATTAGATTATATGAGTTTAAGGAATTAATACAGGATTTTTGGAAGAAAAAAAAATGACAAAAATATTTGAAATATACAAAAGTTAGAAAAAAACAAAATGATGTTAAAAAAGATTAATTTTCTTTAATGGATACAAATGATAAATATAGAATCCATCTACATTTAAAAACATATCTAAATAGTATTCATAAAACAACAGTCACACACTGTACTTGTTGGACAGAGAACACTTACACATTCAGGTAAGTGATGCTAATATCCTTGAGGGTTGCAGGTGACCTCTGAAACAGCCTGGCATGCTTCCCAGAAATGAACCCCTAAACTAATCAAACGCAATGCCAGCTAATCCTACCAATGTCCCCAGGCGTAAATCTAGATATAAGCTGTTGTATAAGCCACCAAGCCCCGCCCAAAATCTTCTTGAATGTTTTCATAGTAGTAATTTATTTAGGTACCTTATTGGTTTACATACTTCTGTGATTGAGTCCCTCACACAAGACACGATTGAATTTTGAGAATATAAGATTTTAAAATATGTTGCTGAGGTGGAGGAAAGATTCAAGTACTAAAAGTATTTAAAAAATACAGTTTGTGCCTGTAGTCCTAGCTACCTGGGAGGCGGAGGCAGGAGAATGGCGTGAAATCCAGAGGTGGAGCTTGCAGTGAGCTGACATTGTGCCACTGCACTCCAAGCCTGAGCAACAGAGCAAGACTCCATCTCAAAGAAAAAAAAAAATATATATATATGTATATATATAGTTTGATAGTAGTCCTGAAAAAGAGACTTCATTATCTGTTTCAACTGAGCAGTAGGAATTTTTATAATTATTGTAGAGTTTCCTATGTTCTTGTATGTTTTTGTCCATGACACCTGAGGTTTCTGTATTGGTAGAGGCTGTGTAGACAGTGAAGTTTAGGTGGGTACAGATGTGTGTTTAGAGAAACTAAGAATTCATGTGCTGGTGCATGCATGACAGGTATCTATATTTCAGCCTCCACTGCTTAATATGATACCTACGCCTAGCCAGTAACTATCAGCAACCCAAAGAGCTACACACCCTCCAGGTGTCACTGTTCTTTTCAAAAGGACATGGAGGTCTGTTGCAGCGAAAGTTACAGCTGTTGATCCACTCGGTTAAGTTCTGTGTGCCGGGTATCTCAGCTGTAGAAGCGCAAACACGTGGTGTCCCACAAATTCCTTAGGACTCTAAAACAACTCTTACTAAAAGATGTGCCATTTGTAGAAAATATAAGCATCATGTTTTGTTTGAGGTGGTGTCATGCTATGTCGCCCAGGCTGAGTGCAATGGCAGTCATTGCTCACTGTAGCCTCAAGTGCCCAAGCTCAAGTCATCCTCCCACCTCAGCCTGCCAAGTAGGTGGGACCTCCGGTGCACCACCATGCCCAGCTAATTTTTAAAGTTATTTGTAGAGACATGGTCTCACTATGTTGCCCAGGCTTGGCTTGAACTCCTTGACACAAGGGATCATTGAACCTTGGCCTCCCAAAGTGCCGGAATTACAGGCGTGACCCATCACACCCGGCCCAAGTATCATTTTTATTACAAGTTTAATCACTAAGCATCTCATCATTTCTTCCTGGTCATGCCATGAGGTGTTAGCTCACGTGTTGTCACTCCAGCCGCATTATGTCACTCTTACTAGGTTGTTGCAAAACTAATTGCGTTTTTTGCCATTGAAAGTAAAAGCAAATTACTTTTGCACCAACCAACCTGTGCCTAGCACAGTATCAGATATATATATACTGGATAAACTATCATTACTCTTACTCTTCAAGGTGTCACTGTAAGTAATAACAATTGAAACAAAGTTTGCAATTATGGGACTGTACATCTCTTTATATCCTTTTCTTGACCTTATTTACATGCTCACACTTTAATAAGTGAATTCCCAATCTTGCATTAATTACATTCTTAATGATGAGGTCATAGAGCAGCACTGTCTGATGCAAACATAATGTGAACCCCATAACATTATTTTAAATTTGTAGTAGTCTACTTGAAAAGCAAATGCAAAATAGTCAGTTTTATGACATATTTCATTTAACCCAATATATCCAGATTATCATATCAATATGCATTTGATATAAAATACATAAACATAAAAGTTCTTAATGGAATATTTTGTATTATCTTTTTTGTAACAGGTCTATAAAAGACCATACGTATTATACACCTACAGCACATGTTATTTGGATGCTAAAGTTCCCACAATTAAAGATAAAATGTATATATACCACACAATAATAGCCATAACATAGAATGAAATAACATTTGCAGCAACCTGGATGAAGTTGGAGGCCATTACCCTAAGTTAAGTAACTCAGGAATGGAAAAGCAAATACTGTATATTCTCATTTATAAGTGGGAGCTAAGCAATGAGGATACAAAGGCATGAGAATGATATAATGGACTTTGGGGACTCACGGTGAACTGTAGGATGGGAGCAGGGGACAGAAGACTGCATATTGGGTACCGTGTACACTGCTGGGGTGATGGGTGCACCAAAATCAAGAAAATCAGCTCTAAAGAACATATCTATGTAACCCAAAACCACCTATTGCCCCAAAACTATTGAAGCATAAAAAAAGCAAAATGTAGCCCTACCAAAATGATCAGGGTGTGTTTAATGAGACAATATTTTACACTACTTATCTTTTTAAAATTTAAATTTGTTTCAATGAACAACAAATAATATTTAAAATGTATTTCCTTAGCAGCAGCAGCCTCATTTTGAATGCTCAGCAGCCAGGTGGGGTCAGTGGCCACCATGTCAGACAGCACATGCTGAAGGCACTGTGCTTTCTGCCTGCCCCTGTGCTGGGTGTTTGTGAAATCTTTTTGTGTTTCCCAGGGGACTGCTAGAAAACAGCAACAAACGGGGAGGAGAAAAAAACTTAGAATATCTGTAGATAAATGTAAAACCCTCAACTTCCCATATAAACCCAAGATGTTACTTAGGTGACATTTTTTTTTCTACCTACTTCTGAAGTAGAAAACCAGATAATTTTTTCCAGAGGGCCTGTATTTTAACTTGGAAAATCCTGATTTTAGGGAAGGAGTGTCTTCGAAGGTGAGAAAAACAGTTTTTCCTTGCAGTTTAGAAAATTCGTGTCTATAACAGAAAGCATTCTTACGTAACTTAGAGGTATCTAAGTAAGACTTTGTGAAGGGTGCCTGGTGACACTTCAATTTAAATAACAAACTATGTTAAATTTCATAGGCTAAAGTGTTCATGTAAAAGAAATGGTAATAGAAATGTTAACACACTGGAATAGAATGACGGTGGCTGAGAGACTACATTAGAAAAATTAAACCTATAACATTTTCTAAAATGTATGTAGCTACCTCTGATTTATATAAAATCTTGCTTGTTGCAGAAATTAGCAGCAAAAATTCAACCATTTAAGGATATGCAAATGGCAGAAAAAAGGATATGTGGGGGACAGATAAATCCATCTGTTTGGAAGATACAGATTGGCCACATAAAAAGATATTGGTTATATGATCAATTTAAAATGATAAATAGTCAGGCTGGGTGCAGTGGTTCACACCTGTAATTCCAGCACTTTTAGAGACCAAGGCAGGAGGATTGCTTGAGTTCAGGAGTTTGAGACTAGCCTGGGCAACATACTCAGACTCCATCTCTACCAAGAATTATATATAAAAAGGCCAGACATGATGGCTTAGGCCTGTAATCTCAGCACTTTGGGAGGCTGAGGCAGGCGGACTGCCTGAGGTCAGGAGTTCAAGACCAGCCTGGCCAGCATGGTGAAACCCTATCTCTACTAAAAATACAAAAAATTAGCCAGGCGTGGTGGCAGACTCCTGTAATCCCAGCTAATCAGGAAGCTGAGGCCGTAGAATTGCTTGAAACCAGGAGGCAGAAGTTGTAGGGAGCTGAAATCGCACCACTGCTCTCCAGCTTGGGAAAGAGAGCAAGGCTCTGTCTCAAAAATAAAAAAAAATATACACACACACACACACACACACACACACACATACACACACACGTATGTATGTATATATACATATACACACACATATATACACAAACACACACAAAAAAATTAGTTGACATGGTAGGATGCACCTGTACTCCCAACTACACAGGAGGCTGAGGCAGAAAGGGCTCCCTTGAGACCAAAAGGTCAAGGCTACAGTGATCCTTGATTGCGCCACTGTACTCAGTCTTGGTGACAGAGTGAGACCCTTACTCTCTCTCTCAATATATATTTTACATTTATTTTTTATATTTTAGTAATATTGCAATATAACGTATTTTTAGAAAAGGGATGTGGTAAAAGTAGAAAAAAGGGCTCTAACATGCAACACTAGATTAAAATAAGTTACAGACACAGAACACAACAGTGAGCAGATGAGAAGCAGAAGGACAATAGACGGGCTTTGCAGGGACAAAACGCTACCAACATGTGTGCAAGATGAACATCTTAGATCATCATGTTTTCTACTCTGGAGTACATCATTCTCACATTTTTTAAAAAATGCTGTTATTAATTCTTTTTTAAAACACAAAAAAAGAACCCAACTCTTAGACCTCATTGGCTATTCAAGTTAGGCTTTATTTCTTTTCCTTACAATAAAACTCTCCTCTTCCCTTTCATTTTCCTTTGAACTAACTTCATTCCGGCTCTCTGTTGTCTTCAGCCTCCACCACAGTTGCTTTAGACACGGTGACTGATGATATCAGGACTGCTTATCCAACCGCCAGTGCCAGGCCTTGCTCTGTTTAACCTTGGCCTTTGAGGTACCTGATCATCTCTGCTATCCTCAGGCCGTTCTCCTCATTTTCCTACTATCTTATCAGCCGCTTACTCTTACTCTGTTCCAGTTGCTGGTTTCTTCTTTTCTTTCTGACCTCTGGATGTTTCTCCCTACCTGTAAGCCTGCTGGCTTAGTCCTTGAACCTCTTTTCTCATCCCTGTAAGCTCACTGGTGGTGATGCCCAGCTTAATGGTGTAAACACCGTCTCTACGGTTTCAGAATGTTAACATAGTGTACGTCACCAACACATGTCTGAGCAAAGTCCAGCAGTGTTCTCAATACTGCACACAGATGTCTGATGGGTGCCTCAATCTTCCTGAGCTCAAAAGGCAACTCCTGATCCTTCCTCTAAAGCTGGTCCCTCCCATGTGCCTTCTTCCATCTAGATAAATGGCGACTGCGTTTTCCACTTCCTCAGGCCAAAAAACATGAGGCATTGTAAATACTCGTCTTTTTCTCACATCCCACCTTTAATCTTTCAGCTAGTTTTCTTCAACATATCCCAAATCTGACTCAATTCTGACCACCTCTACTGCGGCCTTGTCTCCATTTTCTCTCCTCCAGATGAAATGGCAGCCTCCAAACTCATGTTACTTTTCTCATATTTTGCTCTTCTCAACACAGGCATTAGAAGAATCTTGTGAAATATGAGAAAAAGTGCATCAGTCCCTTGCTGCTGCAGGGACGCCATGAGAGCCAACGCCGGAAGAGCACACTCCTGGATGGCTCCCTGCCCTGTGCATGGCTTGCTCCCTACCCCATTCTCACTTGTGGAGGTTCAAACGCCCCCTTGAGGACTATTCATGGGATGCTTCTTTACCGTTAAACGTATCTTCCTTCCACCAGCAGCACTTTCTGTCTGCCCTTCCTGAATTATTTCCATAGCATGCGTCATCATTTAGGATACTGTGTAATTTACTTCTGTTTTCTATGAGTACCTGTTTCCACTATTATTATAGAACGTAACTCAGAAGAGATTTTGGCTTGCGTGTGTGTTTTCCTCCATACTGTATCCTTTGTGCATAGAAGAGTGTTAGAGCCTAAGAGATCGTAAAATCAATAAGAGATTAAATAATTATTTGAATACTCAAAACCTCTAGGTAAGGAATTGTGGGTGAGTCAAAGATTAAAAATATGTATCCCTAACCTGTTTTCTCCCTCCAGGGGCTTCTCTTGTAAAAGTTACCCAAACCTCCTTGTTGATAAGAGTGAAGGACCTTTCACAGTCCACGCGTTTCTCTCTGCAGAACTAGCTGTTATCTCTTCTCTTTCCCCATCTCTCTTTCTCTTTTTGAATTACCCCCTTGCCTTGGGTAGAGTCTATGAATTTAAGCATTTGCGTCTCAATGATATAAAAAGTAACAAATTCTGTCTCATTTCATGCAGTTCCGTATATTCGGATAATTTATGAAAAATTGAATTCAAGAGCCACCTGTGAAAAGCATATGCATGTATACCTTGAATTTAAAATGTTCAAATACTTCCCCTTTTTCCTAATCTATAGGTGCCTCTACTTCCTTCTGACTGTAATGAGATTAATGAAATGTTATTAAGTAGAGGTAAAGTCTATAGTCGGAGTATTGGAATATGGAACATGGACAATGGATGAAAACCTTAGCAGTACACTTTCAAATTCTGTTTCTACAAACATGAATTCTGGGTGGAAAACATTTGTTTTATTACATTCACTTAAGAGAAGTAGAATAAGTTGGAGGAGCTAGAACTCTGACAAAAGTAAACTGATATAGCTAGCATGTGGATTTTTTTTTTTCTAAATTAATACTGTTTAGAAAAAGGTAGCTAAGGGACACAGAATTTCAAATGGTTCTGTTTGGGGATTACCTATGTATTCATCATGATCTTCTCTCATTTATAACATAAGCATGAATTCCTGTAACATTTTTACTCCTTTCCACCCTGCAAAGTGCATTCAAATCACTTTTCCCATTCACTTATTCCAATGCCTGTACAAGCTGTGTTACGCAAATGTCATTATCCCAGGGCTGCAGTTGACGAACTGAGACTGTAAGTTCACACCTTCAGCATGGGATAATGGCCTTCCATATGCAGAATGCACCGATCTCTCCATCCTCATCTGTCAGTGTTCCCCTCCACGGTGCTTACCAGAGTCCAGCTGTACTACCTGCCCTTCAGCACACAAAGGTGAGGTATCCATGCTCCTGCTTAGTGCCCATGCTGTTAGTTTCCTCTGGATCAAATATCCATCACCATCACAGACCTGTGTGAAACCTACCCGCAAAGGTCCAGCTCAACCGTTCACTTGTCCATGCAGTTTTCCTAACTCATTCATTCACCTGGCATTTATTGTAAGCAACCCTACGCCAGGCTGTTTTCCAGGTGTAGGGATTACAGTTGTGGAAACAACTCCTTACCTTCCTTGAATTTTCTCTACAATTTCTTATGGTATTTATTGTGAATATTTGACCCTATTAATTACTTTGTAATACAATCAATTTATGCATGACTTATTGGCTCTCCTGAACTAAGAAATACATAAGAACAGATGCATATGTGATCAATCTTTGTACTCTACAGTTTCTTTAGTTGACACTTAACAAATGTACAATAACTACTGGATATGGAGTGATACGTTGCCAAATACTACACAATTCCTTAGGGGACGGTCCCACTAAATTTCACTAAGCCAAATCCCAAACTTGCCTGTTTTTTTCCCAATGCAGATAAACTGGTAGAATATTTAGAACAAAGTTAATTTGCTTATTCTGATATTTATGTGCCAAGCTTCTGAAATTTTCATCTTTTTATTTTATTCTTTTTTATTTCTTGGCTCACAATCCAATTTACTTGAGTAACTTCATTCATTAGACAAATCATCTAAATCCCAGTTTAATAAAAAATGCCCATTATGTGTGATTCTCTCATTACTTACATCAAATACTTGAATGCAATTGTCTGCATGTTTTTACATAAATTATGTTTCTCGCAATACTCTAGATTTTGTGTTCTTTCTTGCATAATGTAATAATCAGCATCCTTCATTTGAATATCACGGTTTAATACCACCAAAGCAGCACATAATATTTTCAAATAAAAGGAAACACAATGCACGATGCTTAAAGTATCTCTTTCTCAGGGGAAGGCGTATCACGGAGAGTTTATCATGCGGATCATTTCAGTAGGTGCATGACTACCTAAAATTTGAAAAGATGGACCTAAGAGAAGTGTTTGTGCCTTTTAATGAGAAAAACTCTACGCCATCTAAAATAAAACACTGGACCAAGAGAATAGGGTCAAGTCTGCACTGAACAAATGAATGTCTGGAATCCTCTTTGTTTCCTCTTGCAATGCAGTAACCACTGAGCAGGTGTGGCTACCGAGATATGACTAGTGTCATTGAGAAAATAAAGTTTAAATTGGATTACCTATAATTAAATCAAATCCAAATCTAAATAGCCAGTGGGTCTCATGGCTCCCGCGTTACACAGCATAGTCTAGGTTTCCCAGGTGTTGTGTTACAACAGACACTATCTTATTCACATGACAATTAAAAAAAAAAACTGAAGGATCAACAATATTCTCTAACTATTTCTGCTTTGCTTGCAGTGGAAAGTGAGGCTCCACAAATCCAGAACTGTATATATGGTAAGGAACATCTAACTAAGCTCATGGAACCCACCCTCCTGGTATTTATGAACTCCTGCGGTCCTCCCTTAAATATGGGCTGGACCAGGTGTTTCACACATATTCATTAGAATATTGCAAAAGTGACAGGATATCACTTGACATTAGGTTGTAAAAAGACTGTGGCTTCCACCTCTTTCTTGGATCCCTTACCCACAGAGAAGCCTATCCCATGTCTTTAGGCAGCCCCTGGATATGTCCATATGGAAGGGACTGAGGGCTGTCCACAGCCGTGTGCGTAGGCATAAAAGGGAGCCCAGCCCATTCCAGGAGTTGAGTCTGAGTCCCAGCAACAAGTTAACAGCAACTTACAGAAAAACCTCGAGGGCTGAGGCAGGCAGCTAAACCATGCTCAGATTCCTGACCCACAGAAACCTTGAAATAATAAATGCTTGGTATTTTAGCCCCTAATATTGCAAGAAATTTCCTGCCCAGCAATAAATAACTTCCATCTTAATTTCAGGGAAAGGTTGTATGAACCACACGGAGGAAGTAACTATACAGTGCAACAAGTATAGGGTTGCTAGATTGATTATAATAGCGCATAAAAATACAGGATGCTCAATTAAAAGTGAATTTCAGATAAACGACCAATAACTCTTTAATGCAAGCTTGTCTCACGCAACATTTGGAATGTAATAAAATTTTAAAAATGTTCTTTGTCTGAGTTCCAAATTGAAGTGGGAAATTTGTGCTGTATATGGCAAACCTAACCAGATATTCAGTATGTGGTGATGCTGAACAGAAGATGAGACAGAGGCATAAAGAGAAGTTTGCATTTAACGTGGTGACTACAGAGGTAAAGGTCACCAGAGGACGTTACTGAAGCACAGAAGAAGAGATAGTAAGTTGGATCTAGAGACACAGCTAAGTGCTCTCGGTAGATGGGGATAAACACCATCCTCTTGTGGTTTACAAGAAAGGAGAAAGATAAAATTATCAAATGATGTAACAATATGATTCGCTGGGTTTAAAAGTTATTAGATACATAGCTTTGTGGAAGTTCGGAAACACTGAATGCCACTTTTCAGACCCAAAACTGTGATAACTGTAGTAGGAAAATTTCTGAATTACTCAAATAATTCAGCAATCAATGAGAAAATTTTTTGTCATTAATAAAAAACTTATTTTCAATATTAAAAGTAACTCATTCTATGACTCAAAAGTTAGTGGTGAGGTGCGCTTGAGGAACAATCTGATCAGGCTTCTCAGTTCTTCCCTACTTCTTGGGAAGTCTCTTCTCTCCGGGTTTGAAGTGGCAGCTGAAGTTCTGGGCTCAGTACACATGGCTCAGGGTATGAACTAGCTTCTTCCCTCAGCCTTGAAACAAAAACAAAAAACTTTCTCCTGACTGGAAGCAAAGGATATGTGACCATGCCTGGATCAATCACCATGGCCAAGGGAATGCCCTGAGTTCATTGGTTTAGGCCTGGGCCACCTGCCTGCTTATGATCCAATCAACATCAGGGAGACTCACAGAGTGGAGGGTAGGGCAAGCCTGGAAAGGGAGGGTCACCCACCAAAGGCTCGTGGCTGCCCCTAGAGGAGAATGTTAAACTACTGAGGAAAACCCAGAGCCTCAGCAGCTATGTGAGGACACCGTCTTGAAAGCAAAGCGCTAAAAAGGAAATGAATCTTCAGCAAGAATAGAGGCTAAGTATTTCATCATTTTTAAAGGTCATCCACTACATGACCTAGGTATTATTCCCGTTTTACAGATTAAAGTGCAGTCTCTGAGAGAGCAAGTCATTTGCGCAAGGCCTAATTCCTTTAAATTAAGAGAAATTGCACTTCACCGTGTATGTAATCTCCTGACAATGGTTTTTCTATTGTTTAAATAATAGGTTTGGAAGGTTATTAAATCTTTGAGAAACTATGGGTATATATAATAAATGACCCCCATGTCCACCCACCTCTCAAAAGAGATGTTTTTATAAATACTGCATGCACTCTGGCTGGGATACACAATGTCTGAAGCCTCTTTTATAATAATTAAAACAAACTCTAAGACCTGGGAATGTAGGAATTATAGGAAACAGACCCATGCTAACATGCTCAAAGAAAAAAGGTGTCTAGAACACTGAAGAGAGAGGAAGAGGGATGTGAGGAAGAGGGATGTGAGGAAGAGGGATGTGAGGGGGAGGGGAGGGAGAGAGACAGACCGACACAGATTGTGAGAGATTCAGATTAGTTTGTGTGCCAGAGAAATTACACCTTCGCCTCAAAATTTCAGATAAAATATTGATGTTAATGTACACTAGACATCTCAGCCACACTCTGACATCTTTGCAGAACTGATGTCAACTCCTTAATTTAATATTGAAGTCTTTAAAATTAGTATTGATGGCTCTTTGAGATACTTGCTGAATTGGAATCTCTTATCTCACTCTTTTCCACTTTAAGTATATTACATTCCTTTCTAAGTGAACCCTGGGCATCTTTCACTGACTTTTACTTTGCACTTTCATAGACAAATTTCTGCCAAGAATAATAATATCTGAGGAATAGTGTAAGACCTCGACCATCAAGAAAGATCATTGTTGAAAAGTGATTTTTAATTACTTCTTACTGGGGAAAATTGAGCTCAAGTCACTAAGGTGATCTCACAATGTCAACCAATTAAATGAAACCATTTATATTTAATTATCTCTGCTGATGGGTCATATCCTTAGGACAGTGAATCTTCCATTGTTTAGGTTAAAGTTATCTTCGTCACTTTTTTCTAAATACTTTTTAACAGTGTTGGGCTCTAGTCTGATCTTCTCTCTTACCTGCGCTATACTTTTATTGTTCAACGGAATATGTTTAAGTAATTGACATCTTTATTTTATGATAGCAAAAGCATCCAAAATTGTAAATATATTTTCTTAAAACATTACACAAAGACAACTGATAGAAGCCCAATGGATAAATGTAGACATGATAAAACCAGCCCTTAGATTTTTTGAAAGGTATATTAGGAGAGTAAATATACAATGATCACGCAATTATCACAGCATAATTTGTGATGGCAAAAACTTGAAGTCAGAACTATCTAAAGGTAAAGAAACTACATATACATAATGTCCTCACAGAAGGGAGAATTTTATTGTCCAAGAGAATGTTGCCTAGAAAAATAATGGTGAAATATTAAGTTAAAAAGATATAAAGTCATGAATACTATGATGATCATGGCAATACAACAGCATATATAAAAGTATGCAGAGTGAAAGTAACTGGAAAGAAATAACCAAAATGTTACCAAGCGAGTAATGGGGTCCAGTTGATTTCTAGTCCTAATTACCACTTTTCTGTGTGGTCACTGTGCAGGTGCTGTCGACATTGGTGGCATGGGGCAGCTGGGCTTCTCTCATTGTATTCTCTGTCCTTGAGAGGCTAGCCCAGGCTTCTCGCCATAGCCATTTCAGGGTTCCCAAGAAGCAGGAGCAGAAAAGTGTGACTTAGATGTGGAACCCTTGCAGAATCACTCCTGCTACCTTCTTGTAGACAGAAAGTCTCAAGGGCAGTCC
Source organism: Homo sapiens (assembly GCF_000001405.40). NCBI lineage: Eukaryota > Metazoa > Chordata > Mammalia > Primates > Hominidae > Homo > Homo sapiens. Next base: position 4,176,133 of record NC_000008.11, read on the forward strand.
ACATTTATAGGGGTGGAAAAGAGACTCTATGTCTTGATCAGAAGCCCTGCAGAACCACATCCACCCTGTTGGATGTGGCTCTGTAGGCTATATAGCTTATGTACGTTCTTATATACATTTGGTAGATTAGACTGCAAAAAATGAGAACAAAATTCTATAGCAAGTGTCCATCTTATCTATATTGTTTGCTGACGTCAACCTTTTAAATTGAAAATAAATTAGTATGACAACAATCTACACTCTTAAGCCTCTTATTCTCATTTTTCCCTTTTCTCTTATTTACCATGATTTTTACCTTGGAAGCTTTCCTTTCCTTTTTGATTATTTTCTCATCCTGGCACCTTCTAACCTCCTCACTCACTACTGGTTCTATACCTTCACTGTGACATATCAATCACCATTCTGATCCCTACTAATATACCCCATTTTGGCAGTAGAAGTACCCTCTAGTAGAAGGGACATAGGAGTAGGAAATTCTAATCCATAAAAGACACAGACTGGCAAATTGGATAAAGAGTCAAGACCCATCAGTGTGCTGTATTCAGGAAAGCCATCTCACGTGCAGAGACACACATAGGCTCAAAATAAAAGGATGGAGGAAGATCTACCAAGCAAATGGAAAACAAAAAAAGGCAGGGGTTGCAATCCTAGTCTCTGATAAAACAGACTTTAAACCAACAACGATCAAAAGAGACAAAGAAGGCCATTACATAATGGTAAAGGGATCAATTCAACAAGAAGAGCTAACTATCCTAAATATATATGCACCCAATACAGGAGCACCCAGATTCATAAAGCAAGTCCTCAGTGACCTACAAAGAGACTTAGACTCCCACACAATAAAAATGGGAGACTTTAACACCCCACTGTCAACATTAGAAATATCAACGAGACAGAAAGTCAACAAGGATATCCAGGAATTGAACTCATCTCTGCACCAAGCGGACCTAATAGACATCTACAGAACTCTCCACCCCAAATCAACAGAATATACATGTTTTTCAGCACCACACCACACCTATTCCAAAATTGACCACATAGCTGGAAGTAAAGCTCTCCTCAGCAAATGTAAAAGAAGAGAAATTATAACAAACTGTCTCTCACACCACAGTGCAATCAAGCTAGAACTCAGGATTAAGAAACTCACTCAAAACCGCTCAACTACATGGAAACTGAACAACCTGCTCCTGAATGAATACTGGGTACATAACGAAATGACGGCAGAAATAAAGATGTTCTTTGAAACCAACGAGAACAAAGACACAACATACCAGAATCTCTGGGGCACATTCAAAGCAGTGTGTAGAGGGAAACTTATAGCACTAAATGTCCACAAGAGAAAGTAGGAAAGATCCAAAATTGACACCCGAACATCACAATTAAAAGAACTAGAAAAACAAGAGCAAACACATTCAAAGCTAGCAGAAGGCAAGAAATAACTAAAATCAGAGCAGAACTGAAGGAAATAGAGATGCAAATAACCCTTCAAAAAATTAATGAATCCAGGAGCTGCTTTTTTGAAAAGATCAACAAAATTGATAGACCGCTAGCAAGACTAACAAAGAAAAAAAGAGACAAGAATCAAATAGATGCAATAAAAAATGATAAAGGGGATATCACCACCGATCCCACTGAAATACAAACTGCCATCAGAGAATACTACAAACACCTCTACGCAAATAAACTAGAAAATCTATAAGAAATGGATAAATTCCTCGACACATACACTCTCCCAAGACTAAACCAGGAAGAAGTTAAATCTCTGAATAGACCAATAACAGGATCTGAAATTGTGGCAACAATCAATAGCTTATCAACCAAAAAGAGTCCAGGATCATATGGACTCACAGCCAAATTCTACCAGAGTTACAAGGAGGAACTAGTACCATTCCTTCTGAAACTATTCCAATAAATAGAAAAAGAGGGCACCCTCACTAACTCATTTTATGAGGCCAGCATCATCCTGATACCAAAGCCTGGCAGAGACACAACCAAAAAAGAGAATTTTAGACCAATATCCTTGATGCAGATTGATGCAGAAACCCTCAATACGATACTGGCAGACCGAATCCAGCAGCACATCAAAAAGCTAATCCACTATCATCAAGTGGGCTTCATCCCTGGGATGCAAGGCTGGTTCAATATACGCAAATCAATAAATGTAATCCAGCATATAAACAGAACCAAAGACAAAAACCACATGATTATCTCAATAGATGCAGAAAAGGCCTTTGACAAAATTCAACAACCCTTCATGCTAAAAACTCTCAATAAATTAGGTATTGATGGGACGTATCTCAAAATAATAAGAGCTATCTATAACAAACCCACAGCCAATATCATACTGAATGGGCAAAAACTGGAAGCATTCCCTTTGAAAACTGGCACAAGACAGGGATGCCCTCTCTCACCACTCCTATTCAACATAGTGTTGGAAGTTCTGGCCAGGGCAATTAGGCAGGAGAAGGAAATAAAGGGTATTCAATTAGGAAAAGAGGAAGTCAAATTGTCCCTTTTTGCAGATAATATGATTGTTTATCTAGAAAACCCCACTGTCTCAGCCCAAAATCTCCTTAAGCTGATAGGCAACTTCAGCAAAGTCTCAGGATACAAAATCAATGTACAAAAATTACAAGCATTGTTATACACCAACAAAAGACAAACAGCCAAATCAGGAGTGAACTCCCATTCACAATTCCTTCAAAGAGAATAAAATACTTAGAAATCCAACTTACAAGGGATGAGAAGGACCTCTTCAAGGAGAACTACAAACCACTGCTCAATGAAATAAGAGAAGATACAAACAAATGGAAGAACATTCCATGCTCATGGGTAGGAAGAATCAATATCGTGAAAATGGCCATACTGCCCAAGGTAATTTATACATTCAATGCCATCCCCATCAAGCTACCAATGACTTTCTTCACATAATTAGAAAAAACTACTTTAAAGTTCATATGGAAACAAAAAAGAGCCCGCATCGCCAAGTCAATCCTAAGCCAAAGGAAGAAAGCTGGAGGCATCACACTACCTGACTTCAAACTATACTACAAGGCTACAGAAACCAAAACAGCATGGTACTGGTACCAAAACAGAGATATAAATCAATGGAACAGAACAGAGCCCTCAGAAATAATGCCACGTATCTACAACTATCTGATCTTTGACAAACCTGACAAAACCAAGCAATGGGGGAAGGATTCCCTATTTAATAAATGGTGCTGGGAAAACTGGCTAGCCATATGTAGAAAGCTGAAGCTGGATCCCTTCCTTACACCCTATACAAAAATCAATTCAAGATGGATTAAAGACTTAAACGTTAGACCTAAAACCATAAAAACCCTAGAAGAAAACCTAGGCATTACCATTCAGGACGTAGGCATGGGCAAAGACTTCATGTCTAAAACACCAAAAGCAATGACAACAAAAGACAAAATTGACAAATGGAATCTAATTAAACTATAGAGCTTCTGCACAGCAAAACAAACTACCATCAGAGTGAACAGGCAACCTACAGAATGGGAGGAAATTTTCGCAATCTACTCATCTGACAAAGGGCTAATATCCAGAATCTACAATGAACTCCAACAAATTTACAAGAAAAAAACAAACAACCCCATCAAAAAGTGGTGAACAATATGAACAGACACTTCTCAAAAGAAGACATTTATGCAGCCAAAAGACACATGAAAAAATGCTCATCATCACTGGCCATCAGAGAAATGCAAACCAAAACCACAATGAGATACCATCTCACACCAGTTAGAATGGCGATCATTAAAAAGTCAGGAAACAAAAGGTGCTGGAGAGGATGTGGAGAAATAGGAACACTTTTACACTGTTAGTGGGACTGTAAACTAATTCAACCATTGTGGAAGTCAGTGTGGCGATTCCTCAAGGACCTAGAACTGGAAATACCATTTGACCCAGCCATCCCATTACTGGGTATATACCCAAAGACTATAAATCATGCTGCTATGAAGACACATTCACACATATGTTTACTGCGGCACTATTCACGACAGCAAAGACTTGGAACCAACCCAAATGTCCAACAATGATAGACTGGATTAAGAAAATGTGGCACATATACACCATGGTATACTATGCAGCAATAAAAAATGATGAGTTCATGTCCTTTGTAGGGATATGGATGACACTGGAAATCATCATTGTCAGTAAACTATTGCAAGGACAAAAAACCAAACAATGCATGTTCTCACTCATACATGGGAATTGAAAAATGAGAACACATGGACACAGGAAGGGGAACATCACACTCTGGGGACTGCTGTGGGGTGGGGGGAGGGGGGAGGGATAGCATTAGGAGATATGCCTAATGCTAAATGACGAGTTAGTGGGTGCAGCACACCAGCATGGCACATGTATACATATGTAACTAACCTGCACATTGTGCACATGTACCCTAAAACTTAAAGTATAATAATAATTAAAAAAAGAAAAAATAAAATAAAATACAAAACAAAACAGAACAAAACAAAACAAAAGAAGTTCTAATCCTGCCCTGCCAGCACTGGCCATATGAAAGGCAAGGTAGCTCACTGGTTGTCATGGAACTCACCTTAGAAAAATGGAAACATGGCACTAACTGTTAGAATTCCTTCTTATCTAACATTGTGTTAATCTAATATCTGTATGTCTTTGGTACAAGAGTTCACAAATCCAACCAACCAAAATAACAACAATTATGATATTTAAAAGCTCACGATACTAAATTCTGAACTTGTAATTACTGTGCATTGGTATATTTATTTCTAAATTTTCAAGGTGCCAAAATTGCCCCACTCTGTTAATTAAGCCGGGGATGATGCTGTGATAATGGCTTACCATTTCCGTACCCACTATTATGGAATAAAAGCAAAAAAGTCCAGCTGAAAAATAATGCAAAAAACTAAAGAGTCTCCAAATATGAAAATAGGACAACAGACCTATTGAACATTCCAACACATGATTGACCAGCCAATTCCAAGTGCTGCGAAACAGCCATCTATTTTGGTGTATTTGCTTTAAAAGTAAATGAGAAAGCATTGAATAAATAGACATCCCATATAGCACCGATGATTTAAATTTGGTACTTATTATCTATAGCCATACCACCCTGAACGTGCCCAATCTCATCTGAATTTGATATTTATTGTAAAACAATAATGATTTATGACATATATATCCATGCTAAAAGAAATGCAATGGTACGGTTTCTCATTTATTTATTTATTTTTTTTTTGAATGCTTAAACTATAAGGCAGGGTTCTCCAATCTTTTGGCTTCCCTGGGCAACATTGGAAAAAGAACTGTCTTGGGTCACACAGAAAATACACTAACACTAACGATAACTGATGAGCTTTAAAAAAATCACCAGAAAACCTTACAATATTTTAAGAAAGTTTATGAATTTGTGTTTGGCCACATGCAAAGCCTTACTGGGCCACAGGATGGAAAAGCTTGCTATAAGGCTTAAAATTCATTTATATTTACATTCCATTGCCTGTAAGAAAAGTTATAGATGATCAGAATAATATTGACTCAATTCATTTATACTTTTTTCAATATAATCTCCCCTCAGAAATTCTAAACATAAAACAAAATAAACAACAATTCTTATCTTGTCATTGAAATATTACGTATTAACGATTTAGGTGACTAATTGACTATGCAGCAAATGCAAATGTAATATACATTCGTACAAATAAAATGATAAATTCTCCTTTAGCCTAGTTGATTATAACATGATTTCACAGTGATAACCACAAAGGCAGGACAAGTACTTAGTACTTTGCTAGGTGATTCTGTTTGTCTGTGTCTGCGTGTGTGTGTGTGTGTGATGTGTGTGTAATGTTTACATTTTTAAGTACACAGAAACTCATACACACCCGTGTGTGTGTGTGTGTGTCGGTGTGTGTGTGTGTGTATACCTAAATTAGGTATTTAAACCTACCTGAATAGCATTTCAATGCTAAAACTTAAACACACCAAAAGAAGACAGAACTAAAAAAACAACATAGCACCAACAAAATAGACCTATTAGTTTTCTGATTAGGTTCTGTGTTTCATTCTCAGTTTACTTTAAACTTATGATACATAAGAAAAAAACGGAATATATCTAGATTATCGTTTGCATGATTTGTTTAAAAGAGGGTAAAGTTCTAAGCTTGCCCTTGGTTTCAGTAAATTTATTCTTGTAATCCCCAATACACCTTCCACATGCCTTACCCAAAGTATATTATCTTTTAAAACTTATTAGAGAGATCAGTAAATGCTGAACCTGCCCAGCCCACTTATATAATGAAATAATAAAATGTGGATTAAAACATTGTTTTAATAATCAAATAAGATACGTCACATTATTAGCGAAATGTTGGACGGGCTATATATGCTCAATCGATATTTGTTCCTTTCAAACATAATGATGTATGATCACAGAAAAGAATTTAGCATTCTACTCTGAGGGAATTTTATGGACAACAGTGTTTATCATATATACTCATTTTCAGGAGTGACCCCTAAAAATAGATTCACAAATTGTGAATGCCCGATTAATTTGAAGCTTTAAGTTAGAAAGAAAAAGAACAGCTATATAAATAATGGAACATCATTTTTTTTTCTCACTAGTAATGCAGTCTCATAGTTAAATGAAGTGAAGGGAATATAATCAAGTTAAAACATGCAATTATAAGGGTCATTCTAATTATTGAGACAGAAATTAATAGCATCAAACTCAGAGTCTAGAACTGTATGTTTGAATGGGAGAATGTAATTGAAGACGGTGGATAGAATCTCAATTAGCAAATGAAGATAATGGCCAATAAAGAAAGAGGCAAGGAAAGGAAGGATCAAAGTCTTTCAAGTAAAGAGTAATTACATGGGATGAGTAGAAAGTACACGTGATTGTGTTATATGCACAGATACCACTGCTAGATGTCACACTCATATCACAGCGACACCCTATATACAGAGATCATCTTTATGCAGTGATAATTTTATTTCATTTTAAAAGTTAATTAATGCGTAAGTGCAGTATAGCCCTAGGATGAATTTAGGGGAAAAAATGGGTATACAGAGTTTGGAAAATGGAGAAGATCATCTCTAAGAAAATTTGCAGTAGACTGAAAATTTAATTCTGTAAAAAAATATTTACACTACAGAATCAGCAATTAAATATATTTAAAATAATTTATTCATGTCTGATGATTACCACTGAAGTAATCTAAATGGTAACTTCTTCTTTCAATAAGGAAGCTGATGTAAAAGCAACTCCATAAAACATACTGTGGGTCACAGCTTGTCAATAATTTTTAGCCCCTCAATGACATGTTCTTCAATTGGAGGTGAAAACACTTTGCTTTTTCTCTTCTATCATGCACAGACATTACTGGTTTATTTGTAATATGATAAGTCAGAGACAGACATTCCTTTAAAATTTGAACTTAAGTAAAAATTCATAATTTTGAACTTTTTTAAAATGATTCTGTCAAATTGATAAGCACAATTTTAAGTTTCCTTACAAATACTTAACAAAAATAATTTTGTTGTGAGCAGAGAAATTTAAAACTATCAAATGATGAAAAATAATATATCATTTTAAAAGATTAGTGAAGCAATATGAGTATTTCGTTGATGAAAGCTTTTCTTTCAGCATCACTTGAGTATTTCTGTAAGTACTTATTAAATGTCTCCCCTCCTGGATTGCCCACCTACCACTTAAAACACTCAGTGAGTTTTTTAGTTGGGGCATGTGGACAGTTTGGCCACAGCTTGGGGCAGCTACCACATGATAGTCTGGGAAACCTATGAACTGCTCCTGAGAACACAGAAGGAAAATTCTCAGAGCCTCCGACAGTGTCATACACATGACAAGGGTACAGTTAATGTTTGCTGATAATGATGGCAAATTCTGTTATTATCTACCCTGCAATAATTAGCCACCTTCCCTCTGAAAACTACATTTTAGGAATGTTAACTATAATTTCTAAAACTTCATTAAAATATATAAATGCATAACTATGAAAGAAAAAGCAATGGAAATGTTATATTAAATCTGTGTCAGTCTGAGCCTAAGAGTATAACTGTAAGCAGAGACAATATATTTATTTAGCATTCAGCACAGCCCATATGCTCATTTATAATCTAACGCTATTCAGGAATTAATGGCTGAGGCTAACTCTTAAACATGAGTTTTAGACAAGTCATTAGTCATCAACACTGGAACTGTGCTCCCTGAAAACTAGCTATTTCCAATTCTAATAATCTGGAGCATATGAGGATGTTCCTTGCGGCACTATTCACAATATCAAAGGCATGAAATCAACCTCAAAGGCCACCAATGGCAGACTGGATAAAGAAAATGTGGCATGTATACACCATGGAATACTATGCAGCCATAAAAAAGGACAAGATTATGTCCTTTGCATGAGCATGGATGGAGCTGTAGACCATTATCTTTAGCAAACTAACACAGGAAAAAAAAAATCAAATGTTCTCATTTATAAGTTGGAGCTAAAGGAAGACAGATGGACACAAAGAGGGAAACAACAGACACCAGAGGTTGGAAGGTGGGAGGAGGGAGGGGACCGTGAAAAATAACTAATGGGTACTGGGCTTAATACCTGGGTGATGAAATAATCTGTACCACAACCTGTGACACAGGTTTACTTATATAGGAAACATGCACATGTACCCCTGAATTTAAAATACCCCAACACTTTCGGAGGCCAAGGTGGGTGGATCACCTGAGGTCAGGAGTTCAAGACCAGCCTCTGGGTGGATCACCTGAGGTCAGGAGTTCAAGACCAGCCTCCCCAATGTGGTGAAACCCCATCTCTATTAAAAAATACAAAAATTAGCTGGGCCTGGTGGTGGGTGCCTTTAATCCCAGCTACTTGGGAGGCTGAGGCAGGAGAATGGCTAGAGCCTGGGAGGCAGAGGTTGCAGTGAGCCAAGATCGCACCACTGCACTCCAGCCTGGGCACCTGAGTGAAATTTTGCCTCAAAAAAAAAAAAAAAAAAAAAAAAGCAAACGAAGAAAAAACCAAAAAGAAACACAAAAATGCAAAAATGAGTACAGGCTGGGAACCTGCTTTCTTGCCTTTGAATCCTGGCCCTACCCCTTGCAATTCGTCATGATCTTGGGCAAATTGTTTAATCTTTTTGTTTTAGGGACCCTGTCTTAAAAAGGGCTCACAATAGTTTTGTCACAGGTTTACTATGAAGATTAAATTGGACAGGGCTTTTAAAGTACCCAGAATAGTACCCCTAAGCAATAAACATACACGTGTGAGCTTGATAAATAATGATTTTAAAAACAGCATACACCATACAGACTCAATACAGATCCATTCAGGGAATCCGAAAACACTATTCTGCTAATACAAGTGGGCATAAAGAGAAACATGCGCTAATTTTTTAACACACAAATGGATCAAAAGTATCCTACCTATCTAGTAAATGTGCTGATTTATGAAATTGCACGTTATTTAAATAGCTAATGTAAAAAGTGACACATTTTAACATAGTCACGTAAATGCCCAATGAATGTCTAGTTTGAAGACATGTACTGAAATATGTTCGTCAGATAGACTCATGCCTTTGAAGAGCTATCATTTTGAGATAAAATATCCCCTACCAGTGGAAATGTGTAAGATGAGTGGCAGACCCAGTGCCAGAGTCAGAAAGTGCCCTGCATAAGCATGCAATGAACAGAGCAACCGTTCTTGTAGGCCTGAGTACTAAGATCACGGCTTTCCTGTTTGTAAACTGTTATTACGTTGAGTTCATTTCCCTGCAATACTTTCAGCTTAAGGTCTACGGTGGAATACAGAAATCATTCTTAACAAGTCCACCTATGTTTTGTTATGATCTGATACATACAAATCCCTAGGTACATAGTGCCTGGGTGGGCCTGGATTCTGCACGTGTGGAAGACGCAGCTGTTAGAGGAGGCACCCTCTTTGATTGGGCCATGCCAGGCTGTCACCAACGATTTGGCATCCAGAGGCCACTGGAGCATATGAGAAGCAGTCAAGGTGCCCTGAATGTTCCAGAGAACATTGTGGAACACTGGAAGCTCAGGACGGCCAAACTGTGTTGCCATACTCACTGCAGCAGAGGGGAAAGTGTAAAATTACAAGAGAAGGAGGCCCGTGTTCAAGGTTGGGGGCAGTCAGCTTTCCAACTGGGACTCCTCATGGCCCAGCCCTGGGCTGATTCCTATCTTCGTGTTGAATGCAGCATCTCTGCTCACCCCAAGACAGTCCAGTCCCTGACACACTGAGAGTAAGTTTACAGAGCCCAGGTTTCCACCTTGTAAAATAAGGATGCTAATAAGGAAAATAAATAAATAAATAAGATGGAATTTAATTACTTATTTTGAAAACTGGTGACTTCACAGCATTATACGAATATAAAAGACGAAATAATAGGAAGGGTCTCAGCATTGCTAATGTCAAATCAGCCCCTCTCTCAATCTTCCAGGGGCTAAGAGGCTATTATTTTTAGATGCCTCTATTTCCCCAAAATCAGTATATTTGTTTTCTATTAAGACTAAATATTTTTTTCAGCGGCGTACGGTCGCTCACACCTGTAATCCCAGCAATTTGGGAAGCTGAGGCGGGTGGATCACTTGAGGTCAGGAGTTCAAGACCAGCCTGGTCTACATGGTGACACCCCGTCTCTACTAAAAATACAGAAAAAAAAAAAATCAGCCGGGCGTGGTGTTGAGTGCCTGTAGTCCCAGCTACTCGGGAGGCTGAGGCAGGAGAATCACCTGAACCCACGAGGCAGAGATTGCAGTGAGCTGCACTCTAGCCTGGGTGACACAGCAAGATTCTGTCTCAAAAAAATATAAATAAAAATAAAATAACAAGTGTTCTTCTTCCTTTATAGAACAGTTTTAATGCCCATATAAATGTTTGCTCAAATTGAAACAAACATTATCTCTAAGGTCCCTTAAAATTCTGAAGAATTTCACCAAGTCTCCACTCTGTTAAAACATATTGATTTACTGCTTGTAGTATTAAAAATAAGTTGCTTTAAAACAATCTGGGACATTGTTGGATTCTGTTCAGAGAAAAAATAATATGGAACTTTAACATGTGCTTATGGCAGAGACTTAAAATGACTTTTAGGGAATACTGATGCTCTTTCAGTCATAGGAAAGGACAACCCACTAGGATGCAATGGTTTTAACTGACACAGGTAAGCATTAAGTAGCATTTGGGCCAGGCACGGTGGCTGATGCCTATAATCCCAGCACTTTGGGAGGCCAAGGCAGGCAGATCACCTGAGGTCAGGAAGAGACCAGCCTGATCAACATGGTGAAACCCCGTCGCTACTAAAAATACAAAAAATCAGCCTGGGTGGTGGCACATGCCTGTAATCCCAGCTACTTGGGAGACTCAGGTAGGAGAATCGCCTGAACCCAGGAGGCTAATGTAGGAGAATCGCTTGAACCCAGGATGTGGAGGTTGCAGTGAGCCGAGATTGCATCACTGCACTCCAGCCTGGGCAACAAGAGTGAAACTCCGTCTCAAAAAAAAAAAAAAAAAAGCATTCAGGAAGTTTATTCTAGTTAGTGTACATTAAGGCACCATAAATGAACACTCAGAGAAATATATTTCACTCTCACCATATAGTAAAATAGGCAGGTATTATTATTATTTTCCAAAATCACAGTTTCAGATGACTTGCTGAGACTATTTCATAGGCAGTTTTATACTTTTATTCTCTCAGGCCATGGCAGCACTGGCATGATATCATGCATTTGTTGTTAATAAAATACAAAACAGTCCCTATTACAAGTGGTAGATACTACCATGGGTATTTTTAATTCCCCTGCGTTTATCTCCTAAAAAGCCAATACCTTTTTTTAAAAAAAGACCTAAGACAGTGCAAACTTCGTCCTAGTCATAGGTGATTTAAAACAAATAGAAAAGTGACTGCTGGCAGGATGCACGACATGTAATTAAAAACATAGGTTTTAAGGTACTGCCACACACATCCTAACGTATTTAAATTGCACGTCATTCTTCTAACGATGATTTTGGCAGGAAGGGACAATTTTACATGATGTAAAATTTGACTCTGAGGACCCAGAAAACAGCGCACTTTTGGAGGCCACGCTTGCCCTAGACGTCGGTCAATGTCCCCCGGTTGTCAAATCGCTCACGTGGTTTTCTGGACCAAATGAAAGACAATGCAAACCGAGGTGCCTTCATTCATTCTGCATAATAGCAAACAACACAGGAAACATTCGTATATTGCCTCAGATTATTTCGGCAGATACAAGTCCTGAAATCCAGCCTGAGAAACTTTATTTTGGAAAAGGGTCCATCAACCATGGTTAAACCTGGTCACAAAAGATGACTTGCAAATAGTTTATTTGAGGCTGTCTTTAGGAATTCAGGCAGTATGAGGTAGACACTGTCAACTGACGCGCCCTACAGTTCACTGCAAGCTTAAGATTCTGTGAGTAAGATTCCCGCCTTTTATCTATCGGAAAAATGAAAACTCTCATAAAACAGTCTAGTCTTTTAACCTTTATAAAAAAGAGGAAGTGTAAATAAAAACATAATAAACAATTTTTGAGTAATGTCTAGAAAAGAAAGATACACAGATTTTTAGTAGGAAAGAAGATAAAGAAACTCCAGGATGAATATTATGGGGGAGGATGGTAATTGGGAGGGATATTAAAAAAAAAAACGAAATGTTTCTGCATTTGTTATTGGGTCTATGGATCTGCCTGATGAAACACACGGGGTTGGCATAGCTGCTGGGTTTCTCCCTCCATGGTTTACTCAGATATTAGAGCCCTGTGTTGAGGGGACCCAGACCTAATGTTGGACTGTGATGTAAACAGAAATACACGGTTACTGGGCAAAGCCACTGAAAGCCCAGGTTTTATTTGTTATAAGAGTGAAAGTTAATTATCTAGTAATGAAAATACATGACATTCACGTTTTGGTTTACTCAAACATGCCCTGTAAACCAAGTTTGTGAGTCATCTCTGAGTTCACAGAAGGTGCACACACAGCACGTAAGTGCCCAGCTATGCAAACTCATGTGTGTTTATGCCCCAGGACCCATAACAGATCTAAGCCCACCTTTGCCCATCTGTAGAGAAACACTTCCTATCTCTTTACTCAAGAAAACATGTTGAGTAAATCAAGATGAAGCCTGGTGCCAACTGTGTTTATTAGGAATAATGATAATAAATAATATTAATAAGCCATGAATATTCTAACTCTACCTAAAAGTTTGCCTTTGTTATTAGAAAATAAGAAAAAAACAGTAGTCCAGCAAAGTATGTTTGCAGAAAAGAAAAACAAAATTTTTCCGCTAGACAGAGAGCTATTAATTGTATAAACATATATTAAAGATCAATCAACTTTATGGTTACCATCAATTATCCCTCCAAAATGTTGATATATGCATGATACTATGTTAGTTGATTAGTTTTTGGAAAATGGCAAAGACCCCTAGCAAAGACCCTTCTACTGATGTTCTAAACCCTTATTTATCATGGAATGCATTTGAACGGAAAGAGTGTTGAGAATTAATTTTTCATTTGTATTCTAATTAATACTTTTGACATTAGAAATCTTGATAAATTATGAAGATTAAACAGGCACACAAAGGATAATTTTATCTTGTTGCCATATATTAAGGTAAAGTGGATTCAAAGAGCACAGCTTTTTAACATATTAATATTTTTTGTGGTACGTAATACATAGCCTTGAATCATTTCTAAGCCATTGAAAATCTGTACTCTTTTGCATATTTTTTTTTTCTAAAAAGCAGAGAGCATAGTGTAGTGCTTAAAAGCAGAGACTCGCCAGGTGTGGTGGCTCACGCCTGAAATCCCAGCACTTTGGGAGGCCAAGGCAGGTAGAACACGAGGTCAGGAGATCGAGACCATCCTGGCTAACATGGTGAAACCCCATCTCTACTAAAAAATACAAAAAATGAGCCGGGCGTGGTGGCAGGTGCCTGTGGTCCCAGCTACTCAGGAGGCTGAGGCAAGAGAATGGCGTGAACCTGGGAGGTGGAGCTTGCAGTGAGCTGAGATCGAGTCACTGCCCTCCAGCCTGGGCAACAAACTCCGTCTCCAAAAAAAAAAAAAAAAAAAAAAGCAGAGACTCTGGGTCTGGTCTAGTTTTACTTACATCTAAGCCCTATCACTGAAGTTAGGGGCCAGTTAACTTCTAACAGCCTCAGTTTCCTCACCAATGAAGCAGCCACTACTTGACAGAATGGTTATGACATTTAATGATTAACGCTCATTAATGTGAATTGCTTAGAATAATCAGAGCCTAACACTATTAGAGTATTTCGTAAGTTAACCAAGTAAAATAATACAATCAGGAATACAAATTAAAATTTTACATACACATATAAGCTTTTTTTTTTTTAACTGAAAGAGACTCTGATGATCTATTCCCATGTTTATAACGATGTGGAATGGAAGCTCAAAGGGGTTAAAGAATAATATTAGTGTTGTAATGAGACTGAAATCTTTGACTATATAACCAGATAGATTTTTCATTATGAATTAACAAACATTTTACAGAAAATCATCTGAAATCACATGAATGGATATAACTAATTAAACAGTACTATGCGGCCATTATAAAATGAGAGCATGTCCTCTGCAGGGACATGGATGGAGCTGGGGGCCATTACCCTTCGCAAACTGATGCAGGAACAGAAAACCAAATACCACATGATCTGACTTCTAAGAGGGAGCTAAATTGTGAGAACACATGGGTACACATAGGTGAACGACACAAACTGCGGCTCAGTGGAGAGTGGGGGGGGCGGGGAAGGGAGAGGATCAGGACAAATGGATACTAGACTTAGTACTTGAGTGATGAAGTCATCTGTGCAACAAACCCCCATGACACCAGTTTACCTATGTAACTAAGATACACATGGATTAAAATAAAATAAAAGTTGAAAAAAATTCAACAAGGCCAGGCGAGGTAGCTCATGCCTGTAATCCCAGCACTTTGGGAGGCCGAGGCAGGTGGATCACGACGTCAGGAGATTGAGACCATCCCGGCTAACATGGTGAAACCCCATCTGTACTAAAAACACAAAAAATTAGCAGGGCATGGTGGCAGGCACCTGTAGTCCCAGCTACTCGGGAGGCTGAGGCAGGAGAATGGCGTGAACCCGGGAGGCAGAGCCTGCAGTGAGCAGAGATCGCGCCACTGCACTCCAGCCTGGGCAACAGAGCAAGACTCTGTCTCAGAAAAAACAAAAAACAAAACAAAACAAAACAAAAAACACAAAAAACAAACTAAAAAAAATTGAACAAGATAGAACTAAAAGCATTGTTCTTACTTGTCTGCAAGATACTGGTGAAGTGGAGGTCACTAAAACATGTGTCTCATCTGAACTACAACTGAAAATGCTTGTACTTCATCCATGAATCACTGTTCTTCAGCTGTTTAAGCTTTCTATGTTGAAAGAAAACTACAAGATACATTGAAAGAAAATGAAAAGCCATATGTAAAATTCATCAGATTGATTTCAGTTCTTTGTGCCTTTACCAAATATATATACTCTCCTTCCACTGAAAAAAGGGAAGGTCATTCCAAAAAAAAAAAAAAAAAATGGTGGTTCAGTTCATCCTGTGGTTAAGGTTGAATTGACTTCATCTCCTATCGAATGATTTACAATATGAGTCAGCAAAATCAACAGTCAGTTTCCAGACCTCAGCAACATCAAAATTTGACAACAATTCAAAGATGAGGAAAGAAAGTGAGCATTAGCACAATTCAGCTCCCTTAAACCAACTGCACCCACAGGCAAAACACCCGTAGAGGAACACGTCCCTAAGGATTTCACTCGAAATATGCAAGCTTCCCGCTGTTGCCAATTCTCCTGCAACAAAAGTATTTGTGTTTTCATCTCAATAGCCATTACAGACAAACAGAAAACCAAAAACGTGGGAAGGAGAAGGATCATCTGCATTGCAAATATGACGCGTCTTCACTCCAGTGCACCAATAGGCATGTTATAAAGGCTCAACAGATGGCTTTAAAAATCAAAGTTAAAACAGCAAAGATGATTGAATGTTAACAAAATATAGTTCGTTAGGATTATAAATTAGATGACTGTCTAGATAATAATTTTAATAGTTTCATAAAGTATGCAATTACATTGTCCCATCAAGCTTCAGGAGGAGCTATAATCAGCAGTTCTTGGATGTCTTAGAGACTCTTTCTCTTGCTCTCTTTGGCTAAGTTGTGCCTGGAACATCAAGAGGCCACCATCAGAATTATACCTTCCTCTGTGTGGCTCTCCGTGAATCTCGGTAGCACTGATGTTGACCACCACATAAACTAAAGCCCGTTTAAGACAATACCCCCTGACCTTTCAGCAACAGGGGCTTTTATCTACATCAGCACCAGCTAGTGGGTATTTTACTCTTCATCAGCTTTGCCCTATAATGAGAACAGGTTGGGCCACAGCAGAGGGCATATTTGCTCAGGGATCAGAGTGAGAAAAACCTTAAATCTGCACTTAAATCTTAAATCTGTATTGCTCACCAACATGTCGGGTATGAGGAATTGTCTATGTATTTGCACTTTAGTGACTTCTATCATTTCCATTTTCAAGAATTTCCATTTGTTTCAGGCTCAAACACAACCTCCTCACTCATTACTTGTGGTAAACGCTATTAAGCCCAAGATCACTCATGTTCCTGTATTCTGTCCTTCTAGGAACTTGATTCCATAAGTCACACCTTTAAGGACATACTCACTTTACCTAAGAGTATTTTCTGTACGTGGTGCTACCCTTCCTATTTTCATAATATTTGAGTGTTTTGCAAATCAAATGCAATCATATCTTTGTAACTCAGGAACTGATCTTGGAATATCTTAAGTTAATGTCATTATGTATTTATCTTATTTGAAATACATCTTTTGAGCAGTGACATGTGCCTTAAATTTACTTTGAATTCTCTGAGCTTTCAGGAAAGACATCTGTAAAAGATAAGTTGCCCAGTACCATGCATTTAACCTCAGCTCTTTGGAGTCATAAGCAGGGCTGAAAGCAAAGTTGTAGCTGCCACAAACGTAAAACCTTAACGACAGGGTATTGTGAAAATACGTTGCATCACACGTGTATTAAAATACCATGCCCATAATGAAAACCTTGCTTTCAAAGAACGTCCTCCAATAAAAAAAATACTCAATATATACTGCCAGTTTAAATGTACTGAGTATCAAAATGAATATTCCTGGGCTTCCAAGTCTGTTTGCTTCTCTGTTCACATCCAGGTACCCATGCCAGGTCATGTTTTCCCTGGATGGAATGATGGACATTAGGGAAGGTGACGATGGCTTCAGTCTTGCTGATATTACCCAAGGACTGGCTGAAGAGGTCTGAGTCACAAGAGGCTGTGGGAAAACAAATGAAAGAGGCAGAGGATGAGGGTCCCACCGGGCCCTCTGAGGAGCCAATGAGTGTGCTGTCAAGGGAGGCCCAGTGTTTAGTATTTACCCAAACACGGCAAACCACAGCTCAACAAAGATAAAAATCGGCATTTCAAGGCGCAGGAACCACGTCTCCACAGGAGAATGTTTAACAAGTGATTTTGGCTGGCAAGTTATGGAATCGGACAGGGATGACATCGAAGGATGCTATGGCGAGAAGAGCAGGAAAACAGAATACAGTTCAGCCGTGTTTCCCATTCATTCTTCAGCACCGAGAAGCCTCAGCAGAACTGGCCACCTCCACGAAGGAAAGCGGCAGGAGAAAGTACAATGTTTAATGGTGGGAGGTGGGGCTGCAGGTAATTTATATTCTTTCCTAAGTAAATGTTCTATGATTACTATATATCCCCTTCATAATGTTTTTGATATTTAAGGCATGATATTAAAATTATAGTAACTTTCATATACAAAAAATATATTAACAATTTCAATCTACTGTAAATGTTATGGTAGGCATACGTTCAACAAAGAATGCAGAATGATAAAAATGACCAAGAAAACAATTAAAATATTGCCCTATCAAGTCTGTACATGTCATACCTGACACTACTAAATTTCTTTCGTCCAGCAATCAACACTGCTGCTTTTAACACCAAATGAGGAGTGAATTTAGAAATTATAATGAAGGAATAATATAAAATGTTCCCAAGTCATTCCTATAGGATGGGATTTAGAAGCTTCAGGAGAAAACCACAGACCTAATTTGCCATGTTGATATTGCTCACATTGGCATCAGTCATGAAACAATGGACACTCCAAATAGCTTGTAAAATATCTAACAATAAATGGTGACAAAGGCCTGAATTACAATAGCGCCCTGTCACTTTTCTAATAAATAGTGATTATCATGTAAATAATGCCAGGAAGCATCTCAACAACTATTTTTATTATAATGTTGGCAACAGCAAATAAAAAGTACGCCATTTTCTTTTGTTTCCCCTTTGACATTAATTTGCTAACAGAGTAATCATACATCTCCCACATTTTCTTGCAAGGAAAATAAAAACATTTAATAAAATGGGGAAAAGGATCATACAACACAAAGCCATTTGCCAAAGTTCTTCAAATTATGCTTAACAGATTTCATTATTTAAATAAACATTTTTTTTAACACATATAAAACATTCACAACCTTCATGAGACTCTTTGGTCACTATGAGTTCTGCAAAGAAAAAAAAAAGTTTGTTTCAGGATCTCCCACTGTATTATACCCATTTTCATTGGTCAGCCACATAATTAGAACTGTTAGTTCTAATTTAATGGGAGATCACAGTAGAAGAGGTGATTAGTCCCCGGGTGAAAATGAATATGAGAATGGACTATCTAGCTTTCTTTCATCTGGGAATTTTCCATCTCTTCACATTGTAACTTTTTTCACTATCTACAATTTAAAAATTACAAAGCAGTATTCAGCTGTTACGCCTAGAATTCTGCCCATGAAATTGGAAACAGAAACCAGATGAAACATTTTAAAGGAAAAATTCTACTTTGATGACAGTTCTATCCAGAACATGTGTGTACACTGACTTGTCAATGGAAAATAAACTAAAACCTTGGGTGCATACATTCGATTTCAGGCAGATTTTTTAATTTGTTTTTTAAGAGACAGGGTCTTGCTCTTTCACCCAGGCAGTTCCACAATCATAATATTAATAGGCAGAAAAGGCAAATTCTATAGAACAGGATAAGTTAACAAATCACCCTAACAAATTGGATCTTCTATAACATTTTTTAAAATTATAAAATCTGTTTGACCCACCGATGCAAGACTGTGTCATGATTTAAAAAAGACGAGTGTGGCAGTACAGCCTTAATGTGCTCCTCGTGAGTCTCACCCTCTGTTGTTCACATCTCTGTATGATCCCCTGCTCTTGACTGTGAGAAAGACTTGTGATGTGCGTCTGACCAATAGTATATGGTAGAGGTGAGCGTTGTCACTGTCATGACTGTGTGATATTATATAAGGCTGCATCTTGCCTGGATGGAGTTATCGATGCTCCTTCTAGGCATGATGAAGCAGAGGCTGTGTTGAAGAATTCCACGCAGGGAGAAATTGTGGAAATGGCCCCCAGACAGCAAAACGTCGGGGCTCTCCGTGCTCATGCCAGGAGGTAGTGGATTCTGCACACAACCTGAATGAGCTTGGATGCACAGTCCTGCCCTCAAGCCTGTAGATGAGGAGGCAGTGGAATTAACGCCTTGATCATAGCATGCGAGACTTACGGCAGAGGACTCAGCACAGTCCCACCCCGAGAAAACTATGAGATAAAAAATGCCAGGCCGGGCGCGGTGGCTCACGCCTGTAATCCCAACACTTTGGGGCACCGAGGTGAGCGGATCATGAGGTCATGCGATCGAGACCATCCTGGCTAACACAGTGAAACCTCGTCTCTACTGAAAATACAAAAAATTAGCCGGGCGTGGTGACGGGCGCCTGTAGTCCCAGCTGCTGGGGAGACTGAGGCAGGAGAATGGCTTGAACCCGGGAAGTGGAGCTTGCAGGGAGCCGAGATCGCGCCACTGCACTCCAGCCTGGGCGACGGAGCAAGACTCCGTTTCAAAAATAAATAAATAAATAAATAATAAAAATAAACGTCTGCTGTGTCAAGCCACTCTTTTGTGGTCATTGAGTTTACAGAGCGCTCATTTGTTCTATCGCTGCCGTACATTACTACAAATAGAGCGGCTTAAGAGAATACAGTCTTACTTTTAGTTCTGTAGGTCTGAAATTCAATACAGGCCTCACTAGACAAAAATCAAGGCGTTTTCAGGCTACAGTCCTTTCTGAAGCCTCTTAGGGAAAATCTGTCCAATGCCGATTCAGGTGCTTTTAGAATCCAGTTTGTTACATTTATGGGGCCCACATTCCCATTTCCTTGCTGGCTGTAAACTGTGAGTCATTCATTTTTAGCCTCAAAAGACTACCACATTCTCTGGGGTCATAGCCTTCTTTGTGAATCTTCAAGGCCAGCAATGCTGGGTCCAGTCCTCATTGAATCTTTGTGACCCATTCTTCTGCCTCTTTCTACTGCTTTTAAGAGTTCACATAGCTAGAATAGGTCCACCAGGGTAATTAGGATGGTCTCTATCTCAAGACCCTTTATCTTATCTGTAAACCCCTTTTTCCCATAAAGCAACCTATTCACAGGCTCCAGGGATTAAGGAATGAACACACTGGGGGTGATATTTAGCCTGCACATGCCTTCATAGAAAACATATAGTGAAAGTTCCGCCATCTTCATTAAATTCCCACATTTCTAAGAGTTTGTTCATGTTAAAATTTGTTTGTTCTTTGCTCCAATTTTAGTCATTTGAGCCTCACCGCCCCTCACAATATCTATTCTACGCTTTCTATTTTTTAATGTGAAAATATTTCCTTTTCTGTTAAATTTAACAATTATTCACTGAGAGCTTGTGTTCTATGGGAAATGAAACATCAAGATGAAGACAATGCAAAGTGTGTCCTCAAGCAGTTCCCAGACAAACTACAACAAGGTTATCACCTGTTCTCCTACGGTCAAAAAATGTGTATAAAAGTCCTAGCATTTTCCAGTAAGAGCATCATGAATTCTGAGTTATTCACAGATAATTTCGTATAACCAGATAGATTTTCAAATTGAGAAGTATTAGGCATTAAGTATTATGATGGGTAATGTTATACAACAACCTGACTTGGCCATAGGATGCCCAGATATTTGGTCAGACATTATTGTGGGTGTGTCTGTGGTGGTGTTTTTACATAAGATGAACATTTCATTTGGTAGAATGAGTAAAGCAGATTTCCTTCTGTAATGTAGGTGGGCCCCGTTTCATCACTTGAAGGCCTCAGTAGATGGAAAACTGACTCTCTGTCAAGTAAGACAGAGTTCCCTTGCCTGATGGTCTTCCAACTAAAACACTGGTTCTATTTCTTTGGAGAGCCCTGGCTAATAAAAATCATCTTCCAGCTGGACATGGTGGCTCATGCCTGAAATCCCAGCATTTTGGGAGGCCGAGGCAGGTGGATCATTTGAGGCCAGGAGTTTGAGGCCAGCTTGGCCAACATAGTGAAGCTCTGTCTCTACTAAAAATACAAAAATTAGCTGGGCATGGTGGTGCGTTCTTGTAATCCCAGCTACTTGGGAGGCTGATATGGGAGGATTGCTTGAACCCAGGAGGCAGAGGTTGCAGTGAGCCAAGATAATGCTACCACACTCCAGCCTGGGCAACAGAGTAAGACTCCATCTAAAAGTTAAGAAGAAAAAAAGCTTCATCCATTTCATCTATTCATTCATTTAGTAATTCTGTACACATTGTCTTCTATTCATTGGCTTGACTCTGGGAATAAAGTAATGAATAAAACATGCTATCTTTCCTTAAGAGTTGGGGGCACAGACTGCAGCAATGAAGAAGTATTTATGCTCAGCGATTATCAAAGCGCAAAGCGAGGGAAGTCTGGGAGTCTGAGTTAAGGTAAGTTTTACGGGAGAAGGTTCTTTGAGTTGAGTCTTAAATGATGATCAGCAGTCCCGAAGCATGATCAGGGGAGTCATTCCAAGCAGAGAGTCCAAGGTAGCAAATACAAAGAGGTGCGGAGCACCACATCCCATTAAGTTATCCTCAACTCATTATTACAGAAGCACAGAAGGTAAACCCCAGAGAAGTGGCAGCAGGGGCTGGCAAGCCCGACAAGAGTACGTCATGGTGGACCTGTGTGCTAAGCCAGGAGCCTGAACTTTGTCCTACACTGTGATGGACAGAGACTTTTCAGAATTTTCAGATTGGCAATATAGATAAGCCATACCTGTGGTGGTTAGGTAAAATATGGATTTGGGGGATGAGAAAGAAATCACTAGAGGATGAGAAAGAAATCACTAGGATGGATTTGGGGGATGAGAAAGAAAGTGTCTAGAAATATGACACTTTCAGGAACGTGCACAAGGAATTTTTCAGCGCCTTTGATTTTAACGTAATGAGTCTTTAAGCATATAGATCGATGGATAATGTCCCATTATCAACATAGCTTGCCTTTTCCAGATGGGGCTGGTAAAACCCCAAGGACTACATGGATACTAAGTGTATTTTAATATAATTGGTTTTCTTTGTAATCTATACTTTCTATGTGAATTTTGAAATACTATTCTAAGAGTTCATCGACTTTACTAGATTAACAGAGGTCATGGCACAAAAAGTTAAAGTACCATCTCAGGAGAGACAGCGCAACAATATCACGTATTTCCCCTTCCTTTTAATTTAATTAAAACTATTTTTACTTTCCTTCCACGCAGGTTTTTTTTGTATTTCCGTGTGTGTATTTATCTTTTTTTAAGACAGTACTGTTGCTCATTTCCTCCTGTAATCCTTTGCAAATGAGCAAAGTTCACTTTCAATCCCCTATGTACAGTGAGCTCTCATCCTCTGCAGTCTGGCAAAACCCCTGAGGTAGTAGAGCCAGCGCCCAGCTCACCCTGAGCTTCTGCTGTCCGTAAAGTTCTCATATATTTGTATGAGACTGCAGAACGTATCCAGCACAGCACTGGGGATGATCCTACTTTCAGAAACATTAAAAAATACAATACCAAATATCCTCTTGAGGTTAGACCTAGCCTATAGTGTGAACACGCTAAATTCATACATCTTCTGCTATGGTCATTGATATGCAGGCAGTGTATGGGTGCTTTTTCATAGTTTGAGGTCTGTATCTGAAGTCTACCTCTAAAGCACATAGATGCTTTAATAAAGATGCATAGTGTGGTGGAGTGAAAAGAATGGATTTGGTGCTGGCATTAGCTGTCAAGTCATGTAAGTCTATTGCATCTCAGTTTCCTGAGAAACTCCAATTAAAAAGGCAAATAGGAATATGGTGTAAAATGTCAATTTTCATTTAAATATAAGCGATCATCAGTATTGAATCCTCTCGGCTACCAAAGGAGCTACCGGACAACAGACAAACCAATTTATCTTTGATTCCTCCTCAACGCCTTGCATTTTGCTTTGCATAAATAAAGACTTCAACCCAAGCTCAGTGTATGAGGCTGGACAGGCAAGGCAGTCCAGATTTAATATTGTTAATCCAGTGCCATTTCTCAGGGATCAGATGCTTTGATCCTCTTAAAATATTTTCAAAAACTGAAGACTCAAGGATAACATGCTGTTTAGATAGAAAATCGGATGACTTTTGTAGGTTTCCACTAGATAACAGCAGCAACAAAACTCTTCCTTTACAAGGGCTTACCATGACAATATTTTTAGGCCCTTAGTGGAAGACAAGTCATACATTTTGTGGTGAAGTACGGTTACAAGGAGTTTCAACCAATGTAGAAAAAAAGACCTGAATGAAATAAATAATGGTGACTATTAAAAGTTCAAGGGCCCTGGACTTGTTGAAAATTATGTTGAGGTGCCATAAAATCCTGAATGATTAGCTCTATCAACAAATCATCCTCTTTATATTTTTATGTAATAAGTTATTTGAGATTATAACAACTGAATGAGATTTCCTTCCTTTAACATTATAGTCTGAAATTGCAAAAGCTCCTTTTTAACTACCTGGACAAAATCCAGTTAAATGTTATGTTATGAAATTCTGGCCAGCATTTCAAAACAATTCCTCTATTCAATACACTGATGATAATTACCTTTTTTCAGAGGATAATTTTTTTGTTAATTATGCTTAGAGTGTCACTTAGATATGGTATGCTGTGTTTAGAGTCTGCTTAGCAAAGCATGATTTTTTAAAAGAAATACAACTTTAAAAAGCAGAAAAAAATTAATGAAAATTTGATTTAAAAGAATAACCCCACAGCCGTCTACTCAACACTCTTATGGTTTAAGTGACAAAGTTGAATCTCAGAGATAATCACTTAGGTAAAAAATGAGAAATTATTTAGAAATGTATATTAATATAAATGCCTGCTGTGCTATCCTTATATAATTATAAATCTTGGCGGGCCTGGAGGCTCATGCCTGAAATCCCAGCACTTTGTAGGCTGAGGTGGGAGGATTTCTTGAGACTAAGAGTTCAAGACCACCCTGGGCAAGGTAGGAAGACCGCACCTCTACAAAACATAACAATTAAAAAACTAGCCAGACATGGTTGTGTGTATCTGTAGTCCCAACTACTCTGGCGACTGAGATGGGAGGATTTGTTAATGGAGACGGAGGCTTCAGTGAACTATTGTTAGGCCACTGCACTCTCGCCTGAGTGACAAAGTGAAACCCTGTCTCAAAATAATGATGATAATAATAATAACACATCTTTAAGAAACGCTAAGCTAGTTTAAAGTATATGCATTCATGTCTTTTCTAATCTCCATAACTAAATGTCAGAAAGTTGTCTTATTAGTTTACTTTTTCTCCACAGCGCCGTTCATATCAGTGTGGAAGGCATCATGAGATACTACAGAGACGAATTCAAACACCATTCACTACTTTCTACCTAGATAACCTTGGGCCAATGTCTTACCTTTCAGAGAATCAGTGACTTTGCATATCAATTACAGATACCTTTGTAGAATTAAAATGACTACTGTAAGGATTAAGTACTGTTGTGTATGCAGAGGAGGTGATCCAATACATGGCACAAAGAAAATACTGGTGAGTATGGTTGTAAGTAAAAAAATTCAGGGCCGGGCGCAGTGGCTCACGCCTGTAATCCCAGCACTTTGGGAGGCCGAGGCGGGCGGATCACGAGGTCAGGAGATCGAGACCATCTTGGGTAACACGGTGAAACCCCATCTCTACTAAAAATACAAAAAATTAGCCGGGGGTGGCGCTGGGCGCCTGTAGTCCCAGCTACTCAGGAGGCTGAGGCAGGAGAATGGCATGAACACGGGAGGCGGAGCTTGCAGTGAGCCGACATAGCGCCACTGCCGTCCGGCCTAGGTAAGAGATCCAGACTCTGTCTCCACAAAAAAAAAAAAAAAAAAAAAAAAAAAAAAAAAAAATCAGAAAACGATATGCAACAACTGTAGAAGAAAATTGAAATATAAAATACAAATAAGCCTTTATTTACCCTTGACCAAAGTTTTCATTTCTATAATTTACTCAAGTGTTATACCTATGTGAGAAAATGAAGAGCTAGGAAAAATAGTTTGAAAAACATGATGATTGGATACATGGACTCTTGAGAGTCTATGAAGGGAGGTTTATGTACCTAACCTCCTGCACGACTGCTGTTCAAATTCTTCAGTGCTCCTTATAGAAGGATCTTAATTGTGTCTAATTAACAGTGATGACCATTATACATGGAAATTTTGGGGGGGGGGGGCGCTGCATTCATTTGCCATGCTCAATAGCATTTATTCAAGCCAACCACAAAAACCCTGAGACAGAAAACAAAAATGAATCCTACTTGCATTTTGATGATTATACTCTGGATGAGAAGAAACGAGGACATTGGAATCTCCCAGTCCTGCTGTGGGTTGGCTCTTAATGCTTGCCTCTCAGTTTAAGAGTAAATTTTGTTTTTTTGTTAGTTTTTTTTTCTAGAGAAAACATCTTTCAATCAGCCATTTCTAGGACGGGTGGGATGACCAGCTGTGTTAGTATTATTACTCTTATAATGACGCAACAAAATGAGATGTGACTATTTGATGAATTATGCCTTATCTTCACAATTCAGTTAAGATTTTATTCATGTTACTGATTATGCTTTAAAAAAATGAAGCATCTGCCTATTTGCTTTTCAAGAGCTCACTTACAATATGGCATTTTAATGTCTTCATGTATCATTCTGCACACTTTTTTCTTCTAACAGTTCATTCTTAAGCTTTTTCACAAGAATGGAAGAATGTAGAGGTCGTGGAAATGTACAAAATGTTTCATTACGTAAGTTTTAACTAAGTTTTAAACTAGGTCTTCAATAACAAATTTGCACTTTTATACTTAAAAATTTAAAACTCTATTTGTCAGGACATCAGCCTCGACAAATTACTCCTGTATTCATTCAAAAAAGGTTACTTTCCTGCAATCTCTTTGAGTATCATGGTGGATATTGTAAATTTCCTCTCGAATACAACCAACCCTGTAGCTACACTCATAAAACTTTCAGTGAAAGAGGGAGAACCACACTAATCAAACAAGTACTCAAATATTTACTTAATAACTAAGTGTTACAAAGGGAGAAAATGATAGTGATAGAACAGAGAATAAAACTGAGGATTCAAACGTCAGAAAATACCTAGAAAAAGAGGGCAGTGAAGCTGAAACTTGAAACATCAAATGCAGGTACCTGAGAAATAGAGGGTGTCCTGGAGAAGGGGCATGGACTGTGTGGACACCTGGAGTGAGGAGAGATGTTGGCCTTATCTCTTTTTGCAGTTGTGGGAGGAGAACGATTACCTCCACCAAAGATGTCTGCATCGTAATTCCCAGAACCTGTGACTATGTTTCCTTACCTGCTGAGAGGATTTGACAGGTGTGAGAGTTAAGGATTTTGAGCAAGTGAGATGACTTGCAGTTATCTGTGTGGGTTCCCTGTTGTCATAACATTTCTTAAAAGCTGAAAACCTTTTCTGGCTCAGGTCAGAGGGACATGTCATTTAAAAAATCGTCAGTGAGATGCAACCTTGCTGGCTTTGAAGATGGAGAAAGAAGGCCACAAGCTCAGGAATGTTGGCAGCCTGCAGAAGACTGCCCTGACTCCTTCAGAAAAGAACACAGGCCCCTCAACACCACGGGGTCGGCTCAGGGAGACCCATCTGCAGGTTAGAAGCCAACATCAGCCTTCCAACCTGTGGAAATATGAGGTGAGATCTTTGTGGTTTCTATGCCACTACATTTGTGGTAATATCTCACAGCAGCCAGAAAAAAATCCAATGTGCTTTTCTTCTTTCTATAATGAAGAAAACATGTTTATTCTCGATGAGCAAACGGAAGACTTTCTGTGAATCCAAGTACCTTCTGTTATTAAACAGCTGGGTGTGAATTTGGAAGTCAGTGTAGCTGGGAGACTTAGAATCAAAGAGCAGCTGTGGCACTCAAAATATGTATGGCTGGGGGTGGACACTACACACATTGGAAGTTGGTTCCTCTCCTGGCCATTTGTAAGTAGGGATCACACACACACAAACATACACACACATACACATCTGCACACATATGTACACGCACATATACATATAGACATTTGCATATATATGTACATATACATAAGCTAATTTGAGGATGGATTAAAACTAAAACTTGGTCAGGAGTCATGGCTCATACCTGTAATCCCAGCACTTTTGGAAGGCTGAGGTAGGTGGATCCCTTGAGCCAAGGAGTTTGAGGCCAGCCTGGGAAATATGGCGAAACCTCATCTCTACAAAAAATACAAAAATTAGCCAGGTGTGGTGGTGCACGCCTGTGGTCCCAGCTACTCGGAAGACTGAGGCATCAGAATCACTTGAGCCCAGTGGGCAGAAGTTGCGGTGAGCTGAGATTGTGCCACTGTACTCCAGCCTGGGTGACAGAACAAGACTCTGTCTCAAAACACAAAACAAAACCTAAAACTTAAAGGATCTGTCAGTTTTCAAGTCCTGAAATTCATTGACTGTGCCCATGTGGTGCTGTGTGCCTGAGATGGAATTTCAAAGTGGTTTTTCACACCAGAACATCCTCTTTTTTCTAATACCCATTTATGCAATGCTAGGAAAAAAAAAAAACCTCAATTTGGAAGTTTTTGGTTTTCTTTCTCAGAATCAGAATAGTTTTTTAAAAATGTCCTATTTCCACTTCTAGGTGAGCAAACTGACAACATCATTTGATCATCTGTTCTACAAATTAGGAAAGATAGAAACCCAACCCATAAGCTAATTCCAAAACCACTTTTCCTTCATGAACACCTGAGATTTTGTCAGCACTTTCTAGATTGTAAAATAAACCAGATTCAATTTCCATAATTTATTTCCTCACCTTTCAAAGTGTAGAAGAAATTATGACACCTTTTCTATACTGAGAGGAAGATTCAATCTGACAAAAATAATTGCATAAAAGTGTGTAAGGAGACAGTAGGCAACAAGCCTAAATTATTTTATAAAAATTATTATTAGTAGTATTTTGAGACACAGTTTCACTCTGTCACCCAGGCTGGAATGCAGCAGTCAGATCATAGCTCACTGCAGCCTCAACCTCCCAGCCTCAATCAATCCTCCTGCCTCAGCCTCCTGAGTAGCTGAGACCACAGGCACAGGTCAGCACACACAGCTAACTTTTATTTAATTTTTTTTTACAAAGACAGGGTATCACTATATTCCCCAGGCTGGTCCTGAACTCCTGTCCTCAAAGATCCTCCCATCTCAGCTTCCCAAAGTGCTGGGATTACAAATGTGAGCCACTGAATCTGGCCTATAAAAATTGTTTTCTTATTATAATAAGAATAATTTACCTCCAATTTTCTTTCTCATGTATTCAAGCAAGAGTAATTTACCTCTATTTTTTTCATAACAATGCCACAGAGTTTACTGTAAACATCAAATGCTTTAAAAAGAAACATGATTTAACATAAACACATTTATCTCAACTCTGTTGAATGAAATTGTTCTTAGAGAGAAAACTGGGTGAAGAAACATCTGATTTAAATAATAGCATTGCACATTTCTCTTTGGTAGAACTCTATTTCAAATATCACCTACATTATATCATATTTTTGCTGCTCATATAGTTTTTACAATAGTTCCTTGAAAAAGATTATTGTTATTTACTCAGATATTCTAAAATAAGTATTTAATGATTGAGATAAATGTCACAAGGGAAAAAGTGTGAACAATTTTTTAGCCTTGGCATGTGCCTCATCTCTTTTTAGTATCACCAAACTGATATTTATTTCATGATGCGCCCATTTATATACTTACAAAAGCAATTTAGTTCTACAAACAAGCCACTCGAGGTAACTATCTTTATTTCATTTTATGGATGATGAAACTGACATTGAAAGTTGACGGAACTCACTGAAGTGACACAGCATATAAATGATGGGGTAGGATGAAGCCCTGACAATTTCCACCCAGGAGCCACACAGAGTGAGAAAGCCTCTCATTGTAACGGCTGTTGTGGCTCATTTGGGAAATTTTTACAAAGTTTCTTCCTACCAAATAATAGAGGTTTATTTCAGCTCACTTCCTAGGCCACTGTGAGATGAACAGCTGTTTGGGCCATAGAAGAAATAGATGCCTGTGTTAGATATTTGTGGGGGTAAAAATGGAAAATTCTCCCCCATTAACATATGAGTACAAATAAACATCAAAAAACAGAAAATGAACTTCCTATTATGCACTGTGCAGAAAATCAGTACCGAGTCCTCCTGCAGCCACGTTTTTCTGACTCCCAAGTTACTTGCTACCTTCTTTTTCACACGTTTCCATTCTCTCTACTTCAGGAATTTTCTTTCTCTTTCTTCAGAAACTACATAGTTCCTCCCCATCCATGCCATAAATCTTCCCTGGATCCATTCTTCCCAATTCAAAGGACAGAAAGTGAGTAAATAGGATAAACAACGCAGGGAAAAGGATAGGGAGGGTATTTTACCTTTTCCCTGGCTATTATTCAGAATATATGGAAATACATGCTGAAAAATGAGGATTTCTTTTTCTTTTTTTAAATACTTTAAGTTCTAGAGTACATGTGCACAAGGGGCAGGTTTGTTACATATGTATACATGTGCCATGTTGGTGTGCTGCACCCATTAACTTGTCATTTACATTAGGTATATCTCCTGATGCTATCCCTTTCCCCTCCCCCCAACCCACCACAGGCCCCGGTATGTCATATTCCCCACCCTGTCTCCAACTGTTCAGTTCCCACCTATGACTGAGAACATGCGGTGTTTGGTTTTCTGTCCTTGTGATAGTTTGCTCAGAATAATGGTTTCCAGCTTCGTCCATGTCCCTACAAAGGACATGAACTCATCCTTTTTTATGGCTGCCTAGTATTCCATGGTGTATATGTGCCACATTTTCTTAATCCAGTCTATCATTGATGGACATCTGGGTTGGTTCCAAGCTTTGCTACTGTGAACAGTGATGCAATAAACGTATGTGTGCATGTGTCTTTACAGCAGCATGATCTAAAATCCTTTGGGTATATACCCTGTAATGGGATGGCTGGGTCAAATAGTATTTCTAGAGGATTTCAGAATATTTCCAATGAAACCATATCATTTCTTTAAATGGTAGTTGATTATATAAAGATTGTTCTAATATTTATGACTTTTGAGTGATTATTTTGTGGGCTCCTAGAAGCAAATTGTTTTAATACAATATTATTTTTCCATAGTTCAGAAACTAAATATTTTATAATTTAGAGTTGGGCAAATTGCCCTCCTCTTTGAATGGATAAAATGCCTATTTCATATAGATGTGGATAAAATTATAAATCTATAAAAATGTTTTAGTAGATAAGATCACATATTCCTCTTTAAATGTGTATACCTATTTTTCTATTTACATTTGCAAGAGGTGTATTATGAATGCCAGAAAATTAAAGTGTTTTCTCATTTTCTAAATAGTCTTAAAAATAGGACAGTTGGTAAAAATAGGATAATTTATAGGTATAGTAATAAGTATAAGATTACAAGTTGACGTAGATAGGAAATGAATGTGAAAAGTTGTATAACATGCAAATATAGCCAGCATTCCCATTATTTCAAGTGACAGAATGAAACTGTACAATTATGGCTGGTCTAAACCATGTTAACGTTAACTTTTAGTGGCTAGGACTCGTAATTATCTGACTAGCAACAAATTAGCTTAATAGTTTAGATAAATTCACACACTCATGGAAGATTTTAATAAGCAAATCATATTTTGTCTTCAACCAACTATTTTACAGTCATTTAATTGAACCATATCTAAAATTTTAAATAGCCGATTAAAATGTCTTATTCATTTAAAATTAATATTTCTTAAACTGAAGTTTTAGTTTCAAATGTCCATCAATAGAAAATAATGTTAAGAAAATGAATGAAACTGAAATATTAGGTTTAATATTCAATTCAGTAAGACTGGCAACATTTTCATTATGAAGAGGGGGTTGTTTATGTATTCCTACATAAATTAGTGTGCATTCACATGTACATTTCAAAAGAAACATTTTTCTGATGAGTGTATTAATAGCAAAATAACAGTAGATACTGTAACATTTCGATAATCTACTAGGATAGCAAACCATTAGAACTGGCAATAGCAAAAGTTACAATAATTATGTTGAAACAGATGCAACCTCAGCCCTGGTGATGTCAGTGATAATTGGTTCCATATAGGTGGAGAAATTAGTCCTCATGGAGCAACAAACATAACTATATTTATATTAAATAGTCTATTTCTTCCATGCCTAAGAATTTATCTTTAGGCAATATTCATTATAGCATGAAATAGTTAAGCAGAGAAAAGTTTAAAACCTAAAAGTCCAACAGTAGGAGAATATGTAAATATATGAGGGTAATTCACTTTTGTTCAGATATGTGTTTACTATCTATTTAATGCAATATCAGGACAAGCAATTTCATACACATGATGATTTTCTTAATAAAACATATCCAAACATATTGTGGAGGCTAAGGTGTTAGAAATGAAAATAGACTCAGCTATGGAACACAGATATTTCTTCTTGCTTTGAAAGGTAACTGCTCCTGTTATAATTGCCTTCTCGGTCAAATACACAGAGGACAAGAAACAAGAAGAATTAGAAAAAAAGACTGGAGAAGAAATAAAAGCAAATCAGGTCTTATTTGAATCCTTCCTGGAGTAAGAGGGAAGCATTTCCCCAAGGAATTGAGTTACTGGCCTATTATAATTACCATGTTATGAAAACTCTATTATGGTTTTTCAAAATTTCTTTGGCTATAAAAAATTGATAATTGATGTTTCTATTCATCTGCGTTCTGTAGTTTATTAATCTGTGATATACCATAAGAACAGATTATATTTTTAAACTTCAATATCAGATTGACTTGACTCA
Organism: Homo sapiens; assembly: GCF_000001405.40. Classification (NCBI taxonomy): domain Eukaryota; kingdom Metazoa; phylum Chordata; class Mammalia; order Primates; family Hominidae; genus Homo; species Homo sapiens. The sequence continues at coordinate 4,208,568 of NC_000008.11, forward strand.
TTCTATTTTCTTTTTCCTACTGAAATTAATGTTAAGAAAATGAATATAGAGTCATAAAACTAAGGCCGTGATATGCAGTAGAATGACATAAAACCAATTATGCAAAACATCATGATGAGTCAAGAAATGATTAAAAATATAGCAGAATTAAGGCAATAAAAAGCATGGAATATGGAGAATATATTGTCGTGGAAATTTTGTATTACAGAAATCAGAAGAAGAACATCTAGAAAACTGTCCGGTTTTACAGTTGTTTAATATCTGGTTGGAAAATTGAGGTAGCAATAAGTATCCATTCAAAATACCAGGGAGTGTGAGATTTTCTTAAATTTCTTTTTATATATGCCCTGTAGACATAACAGATAAAAACTTGACCCTTTGCAGTACGCAATTTAGAGCTGAAAAACCTACCAGTGAAAGCTGCTTTCTGCTTATGCCGTGAACCATAATGAATCCAATTGTATTCTCTCCTGTCTCTGACTTCTTGCTTCTTGAATTTTTCTTTTTTTGTCCTCTCTTCACCCTTGCTCGCTGATGATTTACAGTGTTAACACATCTTCATGATTTCTATCTAAAACCAAAATCTGCCCTAGAGCCCAAGGTTCTTTCCAGATGTAGGTGGCTTTATCGCTCACCTTTTCAACACTTTTAAAAAGACACTTGCCCAGATTTCTAAACGAAAAAGAGGCAGCCAGCTGGCCTCTTTCCTTCATTTCACAGCTTGCTCTTCAGTGGTTCCCATCTATGAGACATCTTCCCTCAAACTCACAGGGACAGAAAGAATTCCAAAGGACACATAGATTCCCATCCTTCTGATGCCGAAGACTCTCCAGGGTTCCTGTGGAATTGTATGAGGTGTGAACTCCTCATCAAGCCAAGTGAGGACATTGTCACATCTGCTAGTTCCCGAACACTTCCCTTAACCTCACTCCCATGGCCCCTCCTCTCTGGGAAACAGGAGCCGCGTGAGATTCCTTGCTGCCATGCTGCCTCTTCTGGCATTTGTCCACCTGCCTTTCCTTTTCCCTGTCCCCGTGATGCAGGAAAGACAAGCCCCCGAATTGGGGCTTAGCCTGGGAGGGTTGTTGGCTTCACCCAGGAAGGAAATCAAGGGCAAGCCAGTGGTGTCACACAGCAACTTTTATTGACTGAAGCAGCACCAGATGTCCTGCTCCTAGCACAGCAGGACTACACCATAGGCCATGTGCCCAGAGTGGCAGCTCAGAGGCTGTTCTACACTCATATTTATATCCACTTTCAATTACATGCAAAATAAGGAGCGGTTAATGCAGAAATTTCTAGAATGTAGGTGGTAACTTCTGTGTTGACAGGTGGTCTCCATGGAAAGCGGTGACCACGTCTGGGTGTTGCTATGACAATGGTAAACTGGCATGGCACACTGGAGGAGGTGTCTTATGAAAGGCTGCTTCTGCCCCAGATCTGTTTTAGCTAGTTCTCTATTTGGTCCAGTGTCTAAGCCCTGCTTCCTGAGTCAAGTCCCACCTCCTACCTCACCAGCCCTGTACCAGGAGAGCTCCTGATCATTTTCCTCCTTCCTGGGCAAAGCATTTCTCCTGTCACTGTGTGTCAAATCTGATGCTGCCTCAGCCCATCTGTGGGAGCTCCTTCACTCCCTCCCCAAGCCAGCATGCTGGGCATGACTTTCTCACAGGAGGGGCAGAGGACTGCTCTTTGTTTGTTTCTTTGATGCTTTCATTTTCATCCTCTACTGTTAGATTCCATGTCAAGTGTGGGATTGTGCTGTGTCAAGTAAGTTGTATGATACCAACTTTGAGACATTCAAATCCAACTTTTTCTTCTCAGGATTTTATAGTGGAAACTGGTGGGTTATATAAATCTCAGTCATTTTAAACAAAAAAGATCAAGTTTCTAACTTTGAACTGCAAACAGACAATAATTCAGGAAAATTTTCTTCTCTTATATCTTAGTGTGAAATTGGTTCATCTTTGACTTTTAAGAAAGCACAAATAGGAAACACAATATCTGACCAATTTTCTAAAATGTTTAGAGCAAAACAATAGCTAATTAAATAATATCTCATTAATTATACAATTAGCCAAGAAAAAAAAACACTTATCTGAAGAAAGCCAATTTTCCACTTCATTTTGCTCATTTAATTGTAATGTTAAACACTAAAAATCACAAAATCTTCAACATACTGAAATATGAAAGATCTTTTGAATTCAATGAGTAAATACGAGCATATCTACAAGGTCTCAAGACTATCAGTCTTGGAAAGAATCATGTATCTCGGGAAAGAAATGTTTCACAGCAGTGTTGTCTTCTTGGTCCCTCAGACCATATTTTCTATAAGAAATGGTTGACTTAATGAAAAACTCGATTGTCTGGAGTTCTGCTTTAAACTTCTCTAAATGAAAAAATCTCTTCAGGCAATTACTACAAACAGAAAGAACCACAATGAAATAAAAGTTTCAAAAATATTTTAAAATACAAACACATTTCCTTCCTTAAGAAATTCATGTTCACATATCATTGTACATTACATTTTGGGAATTTTCTTGCTGTTATATATTCCTGAAATGTGTGTTCTAATCACTAAATAATTTATCCAGGAAAAACATCCTTGTACATGTATTTCAGGGAAAGTCATTTGCCTTTTTTTTTTTAGCTGGCATAAATTAAGCACCTCAGATAGGGGGAAAAGAAACTGAAAGAAATCCAAAGATTGATCCCTTTTCTTTGGTTCTTTTCTTTAATCTGCTATCATTATATCCAACTGTTAAATTTCTTTACATTTCTTTTATTCCCTGTTTTTCTTTGAAGTAATGCAATTCATTTAAAATTATTTTACCTAAATCAGCATCACTGAATTTTGTCTACAAACATATAGCAGTTTACGCATGACAAATGAGAAGATTTTAGCTCATTTTGAAAATTTCACTGGGTGTTTGAATGTATTTATTTTCAGTTTTATCTTTTGTATACTTTTGAGCATTCCAAGAAATGTTTACTCAAATTAGATAGAAGTTTTGCTGAAACGGCAAAAGTCATCTCCAAGTTGCTCCATAAGAACAGTAAATATCCCATCGTACTAAAATCTGTAAATATGGCAGTATCCTTAGCTGAAATGCAGACTTTAGGCAAGTTGAACATGAAGCAACCTGACTTTGCAAGTGGGGAGTTGACAAAGAGCCCTGCAAATGTCAACCTCCTTCACAAACTATTTTCTTCAAACTGTTTTTACATACTTCTGGACTTTAGATGATAATTTTTCAGTAGGAGTCTTTGAGGGTGAGAAAACACTAACTTGCTTTAATAACCCAACATCATATCTACAGAAAACATTCTTCCAACATCATCAATGTACTATTAGGAAGAAAGGGTAATAAAGTCAACTGTATTCCTATCTTAGAGACATTTTTAGCAGTATGTCTTCTGTTATAAAATAGCAGTTGAAACTTGCATTTGTGCAGCTGTAATGCAATAAAAGGACCTTAATAATTCCTTTTCAACTGTAAGAAAGAATATGCCTTGTCAACGGAACGTAAAAGTCATGATTTCAAAGACCATGTAGGAGAAGAAGTGTCCTTTATTATGATAAAAAAGACTCTGTCACTTCCCTATTTATATATATATATATATATATTATTTTCTCTCCATGTTGTTTTAACTTATTATACCTTAGCTAATTTTGCATCCTTTAACTGACTGACTCAGATAAATACTATTCTACAAACTTAGTCAAAACTAGATACCTACCACCCAAATATGTATCTACAGGTAACTTGAAGAAAATCCCACCAATTAAAAGGCTTTACACATAGAGAATCTCACTAAGATGAAAGCCATACTTTTCATGTTTTGACATTAACGTCCCAGGTAGTTCAGAAAATCATGAAAAATGTACTTAACATTTGTCCTTTCAGACTGGCAGATGGAAGCGATCCTAAAGCTTATTTAGATTAGACATTATAAAATTTTGAAATTTGTAGCCTTTTTTTTTCTAAAATAAAGAATAGTTGATCAAGGCCTGACATTGTCAGTAGGTGGTAGTTATCTAAACAATGATCCTGTCTACTACTGCCACCATGTTATCAGTAAAGTACAATTTTTAAAAATCTAAGAACAGAAATAATTAGTTATATGTAACCACATACATGAATATGAAACATTGTGAAAAGTTTACAACAGCGGCCTTATTCTTTTTTTTTTTTTTTTTTTTTTTTTACAAGCTATTGAACAATCTCATTGCTTTTACCAGCCAGTTCATGGACTGGCATTTGGGAAACACCCTTCTAGTCCAGCTTTCCATCCTACAGGAAGATGAGGACAACAGTTTAGAGGCTGAGCTGGAAAGAAGACACTTCTTCTCATTCCCAACTAGCTTTCCTTCCCTCATACCCACTGAAGACCTAACACCTAGCGTTGGCTTCCAAGTCATGTTGCCTCTCAGTCTTTGTTTTCTTATTTTTAAAACTGAGTTACTAATTTAAGACCCACTCTAAGGTCACTTTGAGCTAATGTCTAAGATGGAAGAATATAGATGCTTCACCCAGTGGAGCATGCTTAGACTCAAAGACAACATCTGGAAAATTTCTTACTAGGATATAAACCAAATGGGGAGAGACATAGTTGAGAATGTGAATCATATTTCACTAATGGGTACTTGTTGTCTATGAACCAGCTGGGTGGCTCCATTCTGTCAGCAAGTGAGGCGGGGTCCTGTCAGGTCTAATGAGCAGCTCTGCTCACACCACACCTCTCTGCTCCAGACATGCAATTCAGAGAGTTTCTCAAGGGCCGTGCACAAAAAAAGGCTATTCTTTGAAATTTACATGCTTCAATCCATCCTAATCACTGCTGGTAGTGCTTATGGTAATAGCTAATATGTGAGAACAGGAACAGTTGCCCGGATACTGGCCAGTTACTAGAATGAAAAACACTTGCTAAATAAAATTTGGTGGTGCGTTAATGTAGAAATGACAGACACACAACGTCTAGAAATAAAACACTTTTGCTCTCCCACTTGCAACGTGAAAGAAAAATCAAATGTCAGCTTTCTGTTTTTAATGAATTTTAAAATGCAGAGTAGGGTGATTGTTGCTCAGCAACTGAGATGAAAGCAGCCATGGGCCCTCCCTGGTGGGAAGCCGTGGGCTCCTGTGTGATTTCCTGAAAGGGTGGGAATGGGGTAGAACATGGCTGAGATGGGGTTCCCTGCCAGCTGTGGTGAGGGTGGAACGCAAACTAACTTGCATTGAGAAAGATAAGAAAAGAGACAGTTATTGAACCCCAGTGTTTAGGCTGAGAATCAGATGAGGTGAAGGTGAGGTCCTACAGATACTAATGAATGAATGGAGGGATGACTCATTAATTAGACACTAGCATACGACTATGTAACCACAGTGCATTTAACACATGGTGTCTTTCAAGGCACACAAACAGAAAGGGGCAAAGTTCTGACGATGTAAGTAACAATGGACAAAAAGGAAAATGCAAAATGATCAATAAATATCTGACCTACTGAATTATCCAGCATCTTACTCCCTCAATTTCATTCCAGTTTTTTTGTTTGTTTTGTTTTGGCTTAGTTCTTGGATCTCTACTTTGTATTTTAATTTAGCACATCTTTACATAGGATACGGCTCAATAGATGGAAATTAAATGAATGGACTAAAATGGAAGTAAGCCTTGAAATGTTTGAGACTTTTACAAGAAAATTTTACCTTATTAAAATTAGTAGTAATAGTATTAGTTTTATTATTTGAGAAAAGGTCTCACTCTGTCACTGAGGCTGGAGTGCAGTGGTGCGATCTTGGCTCACTGCAACCTCTGCCTCCTGGATTCAATCGATTCAAATGCCTCAGGCTTCTAAGTAGCTGAGACTGCAGGCATGCACCACCACACTTGGCTAATGTTTGTATTTTTGGTAGTGAAAGGGTCTTCCTCTGTTGCCCAGGTTGGTCTCAAACCCCTGAGCTCATGCAGTCTGTCTGACTTGGCCTCCCAAAGTGCTGGAATTACAGGCATGAGCCACTGTGCCTGGCCCACCTTATTAGAATTTTGAACAGAAACACTGAGTATGTATTTGCATGCACGTGTATGTGTGTGTGTATGAGTATGAGTGTGTTTGGTGTGTGTGTAGCTAACGTGGATATAGGCAAGAGTTCATCACAGAGAACTACATATTCCCATATTTGACATATTTCCTCTAAATGCTGTGATGCACATTTCAAATGTAGTATAACTTTAAGAGAAGCTCAAAAATACGAACAAATTTGAAATAAAAAAACTATGACCACCAGGTTTAGATAGCGTTTTTTTAAAAAAATGTATATTCTTTTTTAAGTTTTACAACTTGTTTTTGTTTTCAGCTCACTTTTAATGAGCACAAACGAAGCTCACTTCACGTGAGATACAGGCACAGCTTACTCTGTCAGGATTACTGAGAAAGTCAAGTTCAATTCTGCCTCAGTTTTAATGATTTCTTCCAAGCTGGCTCAGAGAAAGCCATGGAACCAACGAAATACAAACAATGCTTCTATTCCGGACAAGTGAATAGGTCTCAGTTCTCAGGGTGCCAACCTAGGGAGAGGGGACGCATCCCAAACAGGGGCTGATAGGGACCTTGTGTCCACGGCATAAAGGCTTAACCAGCTGCGACCTCTAGGTAGAAATTCTTGATCAGAGATGTGCTTTTCTCCTGTTCATAGCCAAATGCTGTACTTTTCATAATATTCATCTCCTCCCTCCCCACCACCCAATAGTTACATTTGGCTTTTAGATGTCCACAGATGGCACTTCCTTTCTTGCAAAAATTTTAGATAGAACATGAATAACAGATTCAGGCAAAGATACCATGTCTGAATCATTAGTAACACAAAAGACTCAATGCTTCCTGAATATTTTACACTGAGAAAAGAATTTGGGGGCCGGGGTTTTATGAATACATAGAGAGTTTTTTTTTTTTCTTCCAGAGACCAGGATCCTTTACATTGTTCTGATAATCATAGATCAGGCATTTTTTCCCTAAAATTTATACATGAAATATGCAAAAACATGTTTACTTTGAACATAAATTTGGATCATACAAGAATTGAAAATAATTTTAAATGAGGTTTTCTAAAAACACAGACTTTAATATGCAGATTCTTTAAAACTCAAATGTACATGTGAATCTTCATGAGTAATACTTCCTGTCACTTTTTCTTTAAAACATTGTTTTCTTGGTGGAATATCTATTCTCTCCTTTTCTGGCACTAACATTTCAAAGAACACAGTGCATGGAAAAGGCAGGGTTTATGTGATTAATTCTATGATGTTAAGAATAAAGCAGGGACAAAAAAATTAAACAAGAACAAAGAGAACGTGGATTCATGCAGGACTGAACATGCCAGTTTCTTTTGTTGGCATTTTTATCCAGACTTAAACTCAGAGAGTGGTGCCCATTTCAGCCACAAATAGCCAGTCCTCTAACTTCCTGACAGCTGCACACCCACGCCAGCCTATGGGAAGAAAGGGAGGTCACTATGCTATTTCTTGGCATGCAGTCCTCTTCTCAATCTGGCTGCCACCTGCCTTTTTTATGTAATCCCATTTTTTCACAGGACAGGACCAGCCTATGACACTTGTGGCTTTGTCAACATTGCGATGGCCTTCTTCCTTCCCTGTTCCTGCACATGCCCTTTTTTTCTGCCTGGAATCCTTTCACTCTACGAGACCTGACCTTCTCCCTGTGGTTGCCTAGTCAATTCTATCTGTCACCTCAGTAACTGCAGGGATGCTTTCAGTTCCCTTGATCTCATCACTTTTAACATGGTGCACACACCATCAGAATAGTGTGTACTATTGTGTGCATGGTAAAATTAATACTTATTTGAAGTTCCTAAGTAAGTAAGTAAAGCTTGTTAAATTAGTAATTAGTAAAATTTTACTCATTAATAGAATTAGTGCTTATTCAGTACCCCCACGGGACTAAGAATTCTCAAGATCAAAGAACCCGGCCTGAGTCTGCTGCCACTGCCAACGGAGCCCTCCAGATGGAAGGTGCTGAGGACACCGTGAAGTGTGAATGCTGGGCCTCACAGCCCTGTGTTCTTTCGTAAATGACTGAGTGAAGGGAAGCTTCTCATGTTTCATGTAAGCACCAGTCATCTAGGAGGAGGGGGTATAAACGAATGGAGATGTTTTAAGACCTTTAAAATTACCATTCTCTTTACAGAAAAGAGAAAGTCTCCAGATGAAATTACACACAGAATTCCAACACAAGAAAGAGGTAAACATGAGGATGGGGTGTCAGACCCACACCAGCTTGACAGTCTCCCTTTTTTCCTTCTTTTCTTGCCCAGTTTTGATTTCCAGCATCCCTTTCAAAAGCCAACAGCTCCAACAAACCTTTTTTCAAAATGGCTGTCCTAGGATAGGTCCCCACGGTTAAGACTTCTCTAACTAGAATTGTCTTGTGTCTCTTAAAGGATAAGTCTTTGATGCTAATGCATTAAATCAGGTAGTGTCCTGTGTCTGTTATACAATATAGTAGATAGGGGCTGACATTTTAGTTGGTGTAGTGCTAGTCTACATAGTACTTTGTAGAAAAGCCCAGAAATAACTACTGAATACTTTTCATGCCGCTGCTTATCATGCAAAGTTATAGCTAGCAACAATTACTCTTCTTGATATAAAAATGCTTCTATCTAGATATGGGATTTAGAATTTGCAGAAGTCTTTCATATAAGCCAAGTGTCCATGCAAGCACTGTGAATCCCCTGTGTGCCAGGTGCTGCCTTGGACTCTAACAATCAACTATATTTTCTCTAATATTAGGGAACTTCATTTCATGAAATATAACTCTAATATAGTTTGACACATTTTATAATGGTGATATAAGACACGTTATACCATAGCTATACACAGTGAATTAAACACAGGTAAGGGTCACATGACTCGTCCCTGGCATCAAGGGGAGGGAGAAGGTGGTGGTGGAAGTGTCTTCTTGAATAAGGAAGGCTTTACGCAGCAAAGGTGTGAGCTTGAAGGGAAACCATTTGGTGAACAGGCAAGTTATCTTTTGAGAAACTGTTGAAAAAGTTGACTCAGTTGACCTCATCAGAAAAAAAAAAAAATTAGGAGCTAATTTTGTTGTCTGAATTTAAAGTTTTAGGAAATACAACTGTATGACTTCTATACTCTACGGTGTTATAGGATACTGGAACATTTAGGGCAGGATTGTTGGGCTAAGAGACCACAGAGTATGAGGTCGATCACCCTCTCAAGTAAGATTCAAATGCAAAAAGAAAATGTGAAAAGGTGAGCCAGAAAGGAAACATAAGAGGAGGTGGTTTCAGATGAGACTATGCAAAGAAGAAGAACAAGATTCAGGAGCAAAGAAATGTGCAGAGGCTCCAGGTAATGCCATGGTAGTTGGTGGGAAACAGTGAAGAAGAAATATCCAACCTCACAAAAAGAAAACCTATGCTTTACTGATGGGTTTCTGGCAGTGGCTTATTAACCCACTGATGCCTGAGGTTGCAATTTTTTGAATTTTTGCAATCGGACATTGGCGATGACCTTGAACAGCAGGGTATAAGTAACTCCTACATGCTGAACGTTCTAGTAATGGAACACTAGTTATAAATTCCTAATCACTCTTGTTGGCACTTTGCTCATTTCATTTTATGAGTATCCCAGGGATGTAGCAATTTATCTGAATTGCGTGTGACAATAGCAATACATCCAAGTTTGACTTTCCTATACTGTGAATTCTTAGCCTATTCATTAATGCAGAATATTCAAACTGTTGATTTTGTTTGGTCATTTCTAATGATTTTCTTTAAACTTTTCTCTATCTCAACTCGAAAATGACCTTTATATTATATACCTACTTTTATTCTGCCATGCTTCATATTTTCCATGAAAGTCTCAACCTCCACTTGCTGTATGATCTTTTTCTAATAAATAATATTTGCATTTATGCCTCTAAACTCACATTTGAATTTGTTTCTGAGTCAAGTTGTCTATGTTCTCTGTAATAATGATTAATTTTACAGTTGCTTAATTTCAATAAAATCATATACTGTTTCATACCGACAGTGATTTCAGTATTAGTGGGACAGTGGTTAGGCTCTAAAGCTTGGATACATCTCTTCAAATAGAGGCAACCATTACAGTGATGGTGACTGGTTTCAATACAAACCTGGCTGTTTTCATCAGTCTCTTGATTTGGTCCTGTAACAATATACAGACTTAACTTCTGTTTTCTCAGTGTCAATCCTTTTATTCTGACAATTATTTCCCCTATACTTTTCCTGAGACATCACCTCCTATTTTCATAGCAAAAATCAAATATATGATCTTTCCATTTTGGATCTGAACCCTTGGGGTCATTCTCTGAGCAATGCTATTTTTTCCAACGTATGTCTAATCAAATACTCCCGGTGTACAGCAATTACACAAATTATCCTCAAGTCACACTTTGTGTCATTTCCCACTAAAATGGTCATACGTTAGAGGTACACCGTCTACTCTATCACTTTTCCTGTTCCTCTAACACCCAGGGTAAATGATCAGACCCAGCCTCCTTTCATCTGTGCCCTTTTTGTAGCACCTGGTGTTGTGTTCCCATCTCCCCTCCCGTGTTCTGCAGAATTTCTGCTGTAAAATTATTTTTTCACCCTCTTTTACCACTCCATCTGCTAAATATAGTTACCACTTTACAAATATGTGATTATTTCTTTCAGTTCAAATGCAGGTCTTTTCTTCTCTCTCAGTAATTTCATTCACTTTCGTAACTTGAGCTGGAATTGGGCACATCCCCCTGGCACAGAGTAAGTGCTCAATAAATATTTATAAAATTAATTACAGAGCCTCCATGGTAATTGGGCTCTGATCATAATTCATACCCGAACCTCTCTCTTGAACTCTAGTCCTGAATTTCCTTCCGTCTCTTGGGTGTTCCCAACATTTCTCGTGAACACCGCAAACGTGACTTAAACATTTATGCTTATGTTAAAAAAAAAACTTAAAAATTATTGGTCTCAATTTCTACGGTTGGCTCCAACCCAAAAAACACTATATCACTTTAAGCAAATCTTTGTTCACTAATGAAGAGTGAGATCATTTGGATAATACTGCTACACAAGTCAAGAGTTTAAATATTATTTTGGGGACTGTCTTCACAATGTAACTTGGTTTGAATGACTTCTTTTCCTGAAAATAATATTTTTAATGTCACCAGATAGCCATTATGTATTAATGTCTTACTTAGTAGAGCTAATTATCTGTAAGTTACTTTTATTGTAGTGGGGAGTGCATAGAAAGACAAAATCTCGAATTAATACCAGGTGGAAACGATGTACTTGTAATATGATGGAGAGAATCACTCAAGATAATTTTTTAAAAATTTTTTAATGCTTTTTTTTTGAAATGGAGTCTCACTCTGTCACCCAGGCTGGAGTGCAGTGGTGCGATCTAGGCTGACTACAACCTCTGCCTCTCAGGTTTAAGCAATTCTCGTGCCTCAGCCTCCCGAGTACCTGTGATTACAGGCACGTGCCACCATGCCCAGCTGATTTTTTGTATTTTCAGTAGAGACAGGGTTTTGCCATGTCGGCCAAGCTCGTCTTGAACTCCTGACGTCAGGTGATGTGCTCGCCTTCGCCTCTCAGAGTGCCGGGATTAGAGGCGTGAGCCACCATGCCCAGTCTCAAGATAACTTAGAGATACTTGTCAGTGAGGCCTTCCTGACAAGGTTATTTGACTGGAAATTTGAAGCGTGAGAAGGAGGTTAGCATGTACAACAGCAGGAAAGAGGACCACACCATGAGGAGGACCCACAGAGGCCTCTAGACAACGGTTAGTGTTTAGCAGTATGCGACGTCCATGGGATGGCATTAGAGGTCAGGGCAGTGAGAAGACCTCATGCATTAATTTTAAAACATCACTTTGTGTAAGAAATATCTAATCCTAGTGCAAGAGTGGAAACATGGAGACATTACTAAACAATTTTAGGTTTTGTGTGAAATAATTGTGGCTTTTCCTAGAGTGATAAGGGTCCATGTGAGAGGAAGGACCAGTGGTATATTTTGGAGGTGGAATCAACACAATTTGAAGATGGCTTAGCAAAAGAAGGAAAGGGAAGATCAAGAACATTTCCCAGGTGCATGCATTGAGCAATTCACTAGCTGGGATGAGAAAGACAGAGAAACAGGGTGGAGAATATGGGGCCACCCAAGAAATCCTTATAACGCACCGAACGCAGCTCAGGTAAGACACCATGGGGCTGAGTGAGAACTACAAGAGGAAAAGTAGCTTGGGGTAACAAGTAAGAAGATTTGGGACTGGATGTGGGAGGAATAAGTAGGCTTCCTGATAGAACATGTGTGTGCACAGTTCACACCACACGGTTGAGTGCGCAGGCGCCCAGAGGAGCCCTTGGGGTGCTCTCCTCTGCCATGCCATGTGCCCGCAGGAGGAGGCCAGTGATTGTCCAGCTTTTCCCATGAGCGAAAAACCCAAACTTTAGTTTGGGGAAATCACTTCATTTAAACAAGAGAGGAATACAACGGACAAGACAGAGAATAGAAATGTAAAGAGCGGAGGAATATCACTGAAGCTCCATCCGTGATTCTGCATTTCAATCTGGCTTTAGTCTCTGCCCCATAAATATTTCAAATACAACATATATAAAATGAAATGTATGAAATGTATCAACACCTGCTCTGGAGAATTTTCAGTTAAACATGGCATATTGAATACACTCATGGACTTACCACTTCTTGCTCACAAAATGTTTCAAAGGCACAAAGAAGCCCATCTCTACAAGGAAAGTGAGAAAAAAAAAAAAAAACAACACATTGACAGCAGCAAAACTTGAGAAGCTACTGGGTTAACAGACAACTGGAACTGACTTAGCAGAATTGATAAAGCTGAAATTTAAATGGGTAATTTGGGAATTCGTGAAACAAGCCAATTTGCAGCACAGAATCCCAGGAAGGCTCAAGAGCAGGAGGCCTCAGATGTGTGTCAAAACATGTGAAAACAGTGCTCCAAAAAAAAGACCTCTGAGAATAGTGAATAAGACAATTTCACATCCCCTGACACCATCCCCTACTTGACAGGAGAGGCACTGCCATTCCCACATTCCAGCAATAGACTGGAGGCTTTCTCTCCAGAGATGCTCAATTAGACTATGGGATGCTGGGCTAGCCTACATTGAGATTAAAAGAAAATATACATTCTGAAAGGTGGACCTCCAAATCTCCTTTTCCTACTTGGCTCTGAGAATTCTTACAGGAATTCTTATTACACTCAGGAAGGATATTAGAGAATTCTTAGCAGAGGAAATTCACCAGACCAGAGAAAATGCCTAGAGAAGCTAAGGCAAGGAACCAGTAACAACACTGTCCAGCACATCCATCTGCAATGGAGGAAGCTGTCCACCCAACGGTCTGTCCCTACACCACATAAACCTGTACATTTTAGTTCTCTAGAGTATGAGAAGACATCAAAGGCCATCAATGACTTAGAAAAGCCATTAGTGGAAGAAAGATCAAACCAACAAAAAAAAAAAACAGAAGCAAGTAGAAGAGAACCTTCACAGAGCCTTACCACCATCTCAAAACCCCTTCTGTGTCTACACTCACAAGCTCTACCAGATAATTGAATCAAGATTCCTGTAACACGCAGAAAGTTATGATGGGTCAGCTAATCTTTTCCCAGTTATGATTTTCCCAGGTATTGCTTTTAATTTTTAGGCAATTTGGAAAACTTGGGGGATACAGTAGGTATCAGTGTTTTGCCTCAGTCTTATTCTGTAAACAGAATAAGAAGCTTCCATCTTATTCTGTAAACAGAATAAGAAGCTTCCATCTTATTCTGTAAAGTGAGGTCTTTGTGCATTGTGTAGTACCTGGTCCGTCATATGTTCTCAGTAAGTCAGTCAATAATATAGTTGTTAATATTATTATTGTTAAATAATCAAGAAAACATAAAAACCACAGAAGTACAGAAAAAGGTTAAAGGCTATTACTTTAAAAATCTGATTGTCCGAAGCCTGGCTGCTCCCACAAATCAAGAACTGTCATTTAAATTTCTGAATCAATGTGACGGCAGATGCCAAATTCAGTAACACAACTATTCAGTTATGCCTCTATCTGGTTCGCTTCTGTAGGTGATAAAAAGTGGTCAAACACTCTTTCTGCCCAGATGGAGGTTATAGTTTAGCTCACCGAGTCATCATTAAGGGCTGGTTGAGCTGACCTGAGGATTTTGCCAGACTAAGAGTCGCTGAAAATACCATGAGGACAATTAATTTGTTTTGATCACTAGACATAACCACAAAACTATGGGCAAGTGAAAGTTATGCAAAGCGTTTATAATCCAAGTCCTAAAAAGACATTTCTTAAAAAAAAAATAATTTGGGCTTTGAGAAGCTGAAGTTAGATTAAAGCAAATAAATAGACAAAAACATAATAATAAGAAGAACTGACAACAGGCTTCCTACATTGGACATTGGAGAGCTGCCTAAACAGCTGGTTCCCTCCCGCCCTGCCCTGAGCATCTGTAGTAGCAAGTGGCTCAGTAAGACCTTGGGGAAAGGAGGGCAACGCCACCCAGAGGAGCCTCCGGGAGTTAATAAAAGTCACTTCTGCACCCCGAGAAAAGCCACAAATGAAATCTTTGCTTCTTGAACATTTATCTTTTTCTATCAACTGACATTCTGAGCATCCAGACTTTTTGCCTCGAAATTCACCTGCACACTCGTGGGGACTCTGAAGAACACTGTTGTCTCAGAACAATTTAAACTCCTACCTGTAGTCCATCCATCAAGTAAATTCAGCTGCCGCCAAGGTAAGCAGGAAAGGGCGTCATCGCCAGGGATACGTGACGAATAGGCTGACTGCTGGCCCAGACCATGCCATGGCTGGGAAGGATAATTGGTAGAGATGATTGCACAGGGCGTAATCTACCACACCACTGCTCGTTAATAACCACCAGGAGAGCTGGCCTGCAAGGCAGGACCTGTGTCACCTGAATGTTCATCAAAGCAGGTTGATTGACCATGGGAAAGAATAGATTAGCAGCCAGGACTCAGCGAGTTAAACCCCAGTCTGTCTGTGCTCTTGGAAAAATCATTTGACTTCCAGAGCCTGAATATTTTTTTGTTATCTGAAAAATGAGGAATTTGGGTCAGATTCTCAGAATATTTCTAGCAAAGGTGACCTAGTCTGATGCAAATTAAAAAGCCCCTTGGCCAATAACAACCAGTGAAACTGTTTTCTTTTTTTGTTGAGACTGATAATGAACATGTAAAGGTCCCTAAAAGTCCTGCATGGAAAATTAAAATGCTTATCACTATTTCTCTTCCAGACGGTTAATAACATCCAGGGGTCCTTTGTGCTTGAACATACTAGTCCAACCACTTTTGAGAGCCTTTCTAGTAAAATTCTTTAAACCCAAACTCGTATCCCGGGTACGTTATTTTAACAAAACATGCATACGTAACCCTACTCAAACAGGGCTAAAGGCTGATGGAACTGACCTGAGGATTTTGCCAGGCTAAGAGTAACTGAACATACCATGAGGACACTTAACTTTGTTTCGCTTACTACACATAATCACAAAACTATAGACAAGTGAAAGTTATGCAAAGCGTTTGTGATCCAAGTCCTAAAAAGGCCTTTTTCAGAAAAAAAAAATAATTTGAAAATGCTTGCACACGTTTTTCCATAATTGTGGTAAAATATACAAAACATTAAGATATTTTAACCAGTCCAAGAGCACATTTTGGCAGCCTTAGGTACATGTACGATGTTGCGCAACAGCACATATTTTGATGCCAATTCAACTTCAGAAAGTCATATTTAAATACACCTAGGAAATCTTTTAAAGCTTATTCTCAGAGGCCAGGTTGGGGAATAGTTGCTCTGACCCATCTACACTCTCAGTTCAGTGTCTACTAAATGCCCTCTTCGCCTAAGTTACCCGGCTAGGAACTCAAGGGAAGAGGAAGTCCCACGGTGCTTCAGTGGTGCCTCCGGAGTTCCACCACTTTGCAAAGGTTATGACTTCAGACTGAATTTTCATCCATAGTGAAGAGGGAGATAAGTGGATAGAATTCCCCACTGCTCAATTTCAGATGCATGGAGATGAATTACTAATATAGCTTCTTTTTTCCTCCCTAGCTTTTGGTGCATTCTCCCCATAGTATTAACCTGTAGTACTCAAAACTCTTAAAATGTTAAAATGTGTGTTCATAATATTCCTCATCATGGGAGGATATATAGGGCGCTGTGGCTCACGCCTGTCATCCCAGCACTTTGGGATACCAAGGCAGGTGGATCATTTGAGGTCAGGAGTCCAAAGGCCAGCCTTCCCAATATTGTGAAACCCCATCACTAATAAAATTAAAAAAAATTAGTTGGGCGTGGTGCCGTGCACCTGAAATCCCAGCTATTGGGGAGGCTGAGGCAAGACAATCGCTTGAACCCTAGAGGCAGAGGTTGCAGTGAGCTGACATCACACCACTGCACTCCAGCCTGGGGAACAGAGTGAGACTCCACCTCAAAAAAAGAAAAATCCTGAAATTCATTTTATTTGTTCATGTCAGGGCAACTTCATTGTACTATTTCAGGACACATGGCAACTCAGCGCACACCTCCATAAACCAGAGACGGCTAGTGAAAGGAGAATCAATGACAAACCATCATTTTCTTCAAAATAGAAAAAAATATTATTTAATCATGTTTTAAACTTTCTTTTCTGAATCATCGAGACTTGATGTTATTTTAATTTCCACCTAAAATATGTAATTAACAATATACATCGTGTTTCTCATGAATTTCTAGTTCGTAAGCCTCTAGATAAGAACATTTTCATACATTATTCTGATGAGTATTTGTTTAGAAATAACAATAAAATACAAAATGCTTCAAGTTTATATAAAGCAACTCATCACTTTTTTTTTTTTTTTTATTCCTTTTTGCCTCTATTTTTTCTTCTTCCTTAGCATGGCTGTTAAGAGCCTAAATACATCACATTTTTATTTGGGAGGAAATATGCTGTTGTCCATTTTCCTGTCTGATCTGCATCATAACCAGAGAAATTAAAAGCAGGAAAGTGGTGATGCCTTAGGAAACTGTCTCACCAGGCAAGGATGTTATCCTGACAAATTGCCACAACATGGCGGCTTCTGAGTAAAGGTTTCAATGGGGCCAATCTATTCAAATCTATTCAGAGTGAAATTAATATTTTATTGCATGACATTCTTAGATGTAAAGTGGCACAATATGATCAGCCTAAATGAAAGTTTTAACTGTGCATATATTTGGATTCTTCTATTAAGATTGTAATTAATTATAATTGTCTAATAATTTCTTATTTGGTAGAATTTATTTGAATGTGAATTTCATGTTGAGTTATTTGATAGATTCAAGTTCAAGAGGTATGTTAAAATAAATTTTCCCATGAATATTTAGTTTTACCTACTCAAGTAAGCTGGAAGGTTAGAGCTGACAGGCGGACACACACACACACACACACACACACACACACACACACACGCCAACACACATACACACTTGCTAGCATGAGAGTTTCATTTTTCTGTTACTTGGCATCTTACTCTTAGCAACTTAAAGGAGATCATTTTACTAACCACTCTTTACCTTGAAAGGATCCCAGCAAAAACAAAAAGTAAAATAGTGTATTAACACCTTCAAAAGTATTTGGGTATTTGGATAAAATAGTTGTTGACATTCAAAAAAGAATTAGAGACCATCAAATACTCTACTTAAAAATGTATTTATCTGACATACCATTTTGCATATACAATTACAACCCTCTCTGAAAAGATGCAGAAATAAAACATAACATGCAGAATTAATTCAGCACACAAAAACAGCAAAGAATTAAAATACTTGCAATTTAGAAATTTTACAGGACTTTGCAGTAACAGAACCTATAATGAGTCAAAACAATTAGCCTTGATCCTAAAAAATCATGGATACCATAAGTTGAAAAAACTAATAACTTATTAAAAGGGCTGTATTTTTCTGCATTGATATTCTATAACATCAATTACTTCATTAAACAAAATAATTACAGTATAATCATAGAAATTAGTAAATGTATTCCTTTAAAAATTTTACGTCCTCTTTAAAAAAGAAAAAAAAATGAGTTTTTAATAATCAGTTAACCTGGCACTGAGCTTTAAATTGAATTTAAGAAAAAAACAAAAACTCTGCCCCATTAGTGCAAGAGTAAAGTTGGGTTGTTGAAATGCAAATGCAAATGCATGTAGTCTCCCCCTGTCTTTAGTTTGGGAATAAGAAATACATATTTGAACGTAAAGGATTTTTTGTTGTTGTTGTCACTTTCTGTTTTTATTTCATAAGGCTGCTTAACAGTTTTACTTTAGTTTGGAGAAGCACAGTTCTGAAAACTAAAGGGGGTAAATCCCGTCATTATCTCTGCAGGTGAGATGGGTCTGTATCAACTCTAAGACTGAACGACTCTGAAGGTGAAATAATAAATGACGCATGCCTGAGGTCTTTTCTGGGAAGGAAATCGCCCCCAAGAGAAGGGTTTTTTAGCCCAGAAAGCACTCAGGCTGCCTCTTTGCCTGCCCTCATGGTTGCTGAGGGACGTTTAAGTCAAACTGAAAGTACTGCATGACCCGATGAGAATCATTAACCTCATTAGCAACATGGACGAGCAAGATGGCGACCACATATCCCCTCGGTCTGCCTTGGGGGCTGTCGTGGCCTCTCCCACCACTCACCACCCCTGCCTGTCCTAATAAGAGGTCTATTGTCTAACATTTTAAGAACCCTATTCTATCCACTTATAAGAACCCTGTTGTCTTCCATTATAAGAACCCTATGGTCAAAGCCTAGTGTATGACATTCAGAACAAGAAAAGTTTCTGAGGAGTCCTGTGCCCTTGAGGCTGGAGGAGCGCATTAAATCCACACATTATAGACCTAACTGAGAAGCAGGGGTGCCAGGAAGCATAATTATTCAGAAGAGAAGTCCCACAGCCCCCGACCTCAGGATTCCCTGCACATTCAGTCAGACACTCGGCCTTCTTCCTACCAATCATTGCCAGTGATCCTCCTGGCAGACACAGCCTCCATCCTACATTAAACCCCACACCTGGAGACACACCCTCCACCCCACATTAACTCCCACACCTGGAGACACACCCTCCATCCTGCATTCAATCCCAAACCAGGAGACACACCCTCCATCCTACAGTCAACCCCACACCAGGAGACATACTCTCCATCCTGCATTAAACCCCACACCAGGAGACACAGCCTCCATCCTACATTCAACCCCACACTTGGAGACACACCCTCCACCCCACATTAAATCCCACACCTAGACACACACCCTCCATCCTGCATTCAATCCCACACCAGGAGACACGCCCTCCATCCTACATTAAACCCCACACCTGGAGACATACCCTCCACCCCACATTAAATCCCACACCAGGAAGCACGCCCTCTAACTTGCATTAAACCCCACACCAGGAGACACACTCTCTATCCTTCATTCAACCCCGTAACAGGAGACATACCCTCCATCCTGCATTAAATGCCACAGAAGGAAACACCCCCTCCACCCTGCATGCAATCCCACATCCAGGTTTCCTTGGCTGCTGTATCATTCCCTTCACTGTAAAAATATTTGCCTTCCTGTCATCCTTTCCAGTCACAGGCCCTGGTGCTGCTGGCCCTGGCAGTAAAACTCTTTGAAATAGGTGTTTTATTCTCTGTCTCTAATTCCTCCCTCCCATTTTCCTTTCCAGTTTTCCTCTGAAACCGCTCATGTCAAGGTTATCTATGCCCCATATTTTGCTGAATTTAAGCAGCAGCACCTACACTCATCTCAGGTCACCTGAAAGCAGCACCACACAGCTTCCACTGTATCCTCCCCCAACTGTCTCTGGTCTTCCAGTCAACCCTGTATCTTGGCTCTTCTACAACCCACTGGCTGTACTTTTAGTATCCTTGGCAATTCTCTTCTCTGTCAGATCTTTTTTTTTTTTTTTTCCTACCCTCACTTCCCAAGTAACTTTTTCCAGTCTCACCCATTTGCAGATGACTATCGATTGTTTTATTTTATTCATTTATTATTTCTTTTTTCTTGAGATGGAGTCTACCTCTGTCACCCAGGCTGGAGTGCAGTGGTGGGATCTTAGCTCAATGCAACCTCTGCCTCCTGGGTTCAAAAGATTCTCCTGCTTCTGCATCCCAAGTAGCTGGGACTTCATGTGCACCACTGTGCCCAGCTAATTTTTGTATTTTTAGTAGAGACCGGCTTTCCCCAAGTTGGCCAGGCTGGTCTTGAACTCCTGACTGCCTCGGTCTCCAAAAGTGCTGGGATTACAGGAGTGAGCCACTGAGCCAAGCCAGGACCCCTGATTTTAAAGCGCGAACCTGGACTTTTCCATGAAATTGAGACACATATATCCGACTGTCTTCTCAACCACCTGGGATATCAGACTAAGCTTTCCCAAACCTGATTCCTGATGCACTCCCAAGTGTGCTTTTCCACACAGTCTTCCCAGCTTGCTAGAGAATAACTCCCTTTTTCTATTTGGGCAGGACAAAAACCCGGAGTCAACTTGTATTCCTCCTTTTCTGTCAAATACCAAATCAGCACATTGGCCAATTTGGCTAGTCCTACTCAAAAGACGCTGAGATGCTGAGCAATCCTCCCCACCTCATTCTTCAGTGGCTTGAGCCACCATTATCTATCACCTGAATGAGTCCAATGTGCTTCTTTCTTATCCACTTTTGTGCCATCATCAACAAAGCAGCCCTAAGATTCTCTTAGATCACAAGCTAGATCATACCTACCACAATCACTCATTATCTTTTCAACAACCTTACAGAAGACCCACAATCACCAACAAGCACTTACCAAAGAAAGAACATTTTGTCTTCATATAATTCTACTGTAGCTTTTTTCCTCTTATTTCTCACACTTACCCAGCATTCCCCATCCTCAGCACCTTACAGGACCTGTTTCCACTGCATGAAGGCTCTTCCCCAGATGCCCTCATAGTTCACTCCTCTTCTCCAGCTGCTTAAAGGCCATCTTCTTAGTGAAGTTCGTTCTCACCATCTGATGTACAGCCTCAGCCCCTTCCTCTTGCTTGACCCACCCCATCCTCTGCCGTCCTGCTTCTACATAGCATATCACAATGCGACCCACTAAGTGTTTCATCACTCACTCCTTCCTTTTTTCCCTCACAAACGTATGAATCCCAAGAGGGCCGGGATTTTATCGCTTTGGTCTGTGTTCTGCCCCAGTGTTGAAATCTGTGTATCGCTTTGAGTGATACTCAATAATATTTGTTGATTGAGTGAATATCTTACATTCTAATATCAAGAGACTTTTACGTCCTAAAGCCGACATTATAACACTTAAGTCTGTAATAAATGCATATGATTTTGCTATTCAACATTTTAAACATAAGAACATCTTACGTGCGTGCGTGCACTCAGGTGTGTATACAAGCTTATTAGACTACAAGCCTTATAAACCTTTTTCTAAGATTAAATCATCTCAGAATGTGATGACATATTGCAGTGCTGGGTATGTTTGAATTGATATTCTGAGCCAAATTATCTTAAGATCTAGAGTTTCCCTCTAATCTTAATAAATGTTTGTGTTGCTCTACAATAGATTTATATCGTTGAGTATCTTATATTCTAGATTTATATTAAAACATTTAATCCTCAATTAATCTATCCAATTAATCCATCCATTGCATAAAGCAAATCAAGCCGAGTAAACTCTGGTGACCTACCTGAGGTCAGACAACTAATAAATAAATGATCTTGTATATAATCCAAGGTCTAACCTGTGACTTAACATATTTATTAAATTATATCCCAATCAATAACTATTAAACTCTGCTCAAAGTAGATATAATGGTTACTGTCCTTTCCCACATACAGAGTTTTTAGGCCAGTTGCTCAATTATATTGGACAATAAAGTCCAATCATAAAACACATCCTTAATGTTCATGGCTGTTATGTATCAAGATGTTTTTAAACCCCCAAATTTGTGACTACCAAGTAGCTCATAATTTTCTCCATAAATATTATAAATTTTTACTGCCTAATAGTAATTTTCCTAGACCTTTAATGACTATAAATATAAAACCGATTACAAGCTATTGAAATAAATTCTATCAGTTTTTTTTTGACTTTCAAGTAATTTTTACCTCTCATACTTCAGCAGCTTTTGCAGTGTCACAATGTATTTTTTGTGGTTAGGAACAATCGATTATAGATTCTTTAACGGCACTAACTTGAGTCACCACCAAATTCAATATTATATGCTGTGATTTTTTAATCTCCTGTTTTTTTCTACTTGGAAAACATGTGCTTAGATTATTTCATTTGCAACATCAGTACTAGTATTTTGTTTCATCACACACACATTCACAGAGCAAAAACTATCCAACTTGCTACCGTGGGAAAATTGGGGAAAGCGTTTTTACAAGGGTTATCCTAAATTAAGCATTTCTCCACCAAGGATATATGTTGAACTACAGAAGAGTATTACGAAAACTAACAGGATATTGATATAGTGAAATGTTTAAAATACACATCAATTGCGCATTGAGTCTAAATGAAAGGCATTGTCTTATCCCTCTTTGAGGTTACTGCCGCCATCATGGAAGGAAGCCATCTGTTACCAGAGGCAGTGATGCTAAGAAAAGCGTGTGAGGCTCAGAGTCATGGGTCCAACCTCACATATGACTTCAATAAATCACCTAGCATTGCTGGATAATTTTCCTCCTCTGAGAGAATAGGAGCATATTTGTCTCACAAAGTTGTTACAAAAATTACGATAAAAGTGATAGGTGTAGAGATCAGACATTAGACAGTGAACTCTCTCAGGGCCAGCTCTCTCACGCCCTTCAATTAGGAGACATAAGAAAGGTCTGTAATTTTTTTTTGGTGTTAAAGGCTAAGCAATGACAACAGTTTGCATGTAACTATTATTGTTATAAATCTGCATACAATCCCCCAACAAATGTTGAGTCAGATATCTTCTTTACTGCAGGCTCTGTCTGATAAGTAGGCTATTAACTACAAGCTGTGGGCTTATGACTACAGTTAATAAGCCAAGTCTTAAGAATGTGACTGGTAGTGATGGACCATGGAAAAAGTAAATAACACTGTTGGCCATGCCACAGCCTCAGTCCCCATACTCAGGGTTCTACCTAACAAAACTGCCAGTATAGGAAAAGCACCCAGAATATCTGTACATGTATATGATAAAGGATCAAACACATCAACTCCTAATACTTGTGTTTTACTAAAATTTCTGAATCTCATACATAAAATATGTGTTTTCCTTCTTCCTTTTCTACCTCCTCCTTTCTTTCTTTTGCAAAAGGCTAATCATTTTGTAAAGCAAAGCCATCGACATAGGACGTAAGTATGAAACAATATGTTGGCCTGATACTATGAGGTGTTAGAAGAGCGAAGTAGTAATTATTGTAGTACTTGATCACATTCATGCTTCTGATACTTTCAAGATTTTCACTTTACTATTAGTTTCCTTTTCTAAACTTCAAAATCCAAGTGTATTGAGAAACACTTGTCCTTTATTTATTTGTTTTTATTTATTTTTAAGACAGAGTCTCGCTCTGTCAGTCACCAGGCTGTAGTGCAGTGGCACGATCTTGGCTCACTGCAACCTCCGCCTCCCAGGTTCAAGTAATTCTCCTGTCTCAGCCTCCCTAGTACCTGGGATTACAGGCACCCGCCATTAAGCCTGACTAATTTTTGTATTCTTAGTAGAGACGGGGTTTCCCCACGTTGGCCAGCTTGGTCTTGAACTCCTGACCTCAGGTGATCTGCCCACCTCAGATTCCCAAAGTGCTGGGATTACAGGCATGAGCAACTGCGCCCAGCCACACATGTCCTTTAAATTACACACTACCTATGAAGAATAATTGACTTGGCTTTTCTCCACTCAAAAATGAGAAATGTGAATGACTCTTGTGATCCTAACCACAGTGTCATGTCTTGCTGCAAATTAGATGAAGGGTATTTCATCACTAAATCTTACTTTCTTAACTAAAACTCTCACCTAAACTGAAGGAGACATTTTATAAAAGTGTCATGTCAAGCATGATTTAACAGTCGTAAGATTGCCTTAATTCACTGCTATCTGGTTAAAACCCTAATTGACGTTTGGAAATGAATTGAATGTCAGGTGCCTCGAAATCTAAAAGACAAACATTACTTTATTTATTTATTTATATATTTATTTTAGGGGCAACAATCTTGAATAAGTGTAAAAGGAGGAAAAGGATATTGAAATTCACAAGAATTCTTTGTTCCAAAAAGTTTTCTGCAGTCAAGCATAATTTGGTTATTCATAAGAAAAGGAGGAAACAGGAAGAGGATAGACGTGGTGTCATGTCTACATGCACCTGCAGATCAAAACCACAAGGATATGTTGCTCTAGGTTTATTAAAGCTCATTGTTCTGTGCACTGGCACTGAACTGCACAGTTGGAAAATGCTATCACTTATCCACAACGTTCCAGCTTCAAGAACAATGACATGCATTTTAATAGAAGCAACAACATTCATATTGAAAACATATCATTTTCTTCAATTTTTTCTTTTTCTTTTTGAAGTTAACACTGTTGTGACAGGGAAGATCAGCTTCTTTGTATGCAGAAGTGCCCACTCTCCGCCAGCCACATCTCAAATTTGAATGTTAAAAACCTCTCTTCATTGACATATTAAAAGTACCTACATTAGTTTTTCTCAGTGACTAAGTACTATGTTCTGAAAGTGTTTTCCACAAAATTCATGTGTTGAAAACCTGACCCCGAATGTGATGGTATTTGGAGATGGGACCTTTGGAAATGCTTTGATTAGGAAGAAGGAGCTTTCATGAACGGGATTAGTGCCCTTATAAAAGAGGACGCAGAGAGCTCTCTCACACCTTCCACTGTCTGAGGACACAGGGAGAAGGCCCTGTCTATGAACCAGGAAATGATCCCCAACCAGGACACCTTGATCTTGGACTGCCCAGATGCTCCAGATCTGTGAGAAGCAAATTTCTGTGCTTTATAAGCTATCCAATGTATGGAATTTTGGTACAGCAGCCCCAACAGACTAAGATATTAATAAAATAAAGATGTAAGATCTCTGTTGAAATGCACAAATAATATCTGAGAAGAAGTAGAGTATCTTTAGGATATTTCATGAAATTTCATTTGAGTTGGTTAATTATTATTTGGCCATATATAAAGAATCTAATCCTGAGAATTTCAAGCGGAAGCCATATCCAGTACTTGGATGAACCAATGTCACCCTAAAATGCCTTAATGAGGTGAGACTAATGCATGGAGAGCTTAAGGTAAAACGGCGGGGGGTGGGGGAACATGTGATCCCTTCTGCCTGAGAGGTTCTGGCATCTGGTTAAGAGTCTACCATCAGCCAGTGAAACAGATAAGTCAACCATTAACCCCTGCCTAAGTACTAACCTACACAAGTACATCAAGTGCTACAGGAGTTAAATGAAATGGAAGATTATTCTTCATAGGACTGAGCACAGATTCCCAGGAGTTAACTCTTGACTTAGACCAAGAAAGATGAACAGAAAAGACATCTGTAAGCGAAGGCTGCCACCAGACTAAAGCAGGAGGTTGTGAATGAACAAGACTTACACGAAGTGATCTATGGGACCCATCCATAGAGCTGGCGATTGCAGACACAAGTTTAGAAATGGGCCGAGGCTCCTGAAGCAGCCTCTCTGCAGGAGTGGAAGATGTGTGGCAGCCACCGGCATTCCTGAACCACCTCAGTCTGCTCTTCCATGGAAACTACCTTTGCTACCAAGACGTCCATTTCTCTGTGTGGCCATTTGAGACCTGCTTATCCTTGAGGTCTGAATTCAGCAGTCTACACTAGATATCACTCCTAAATGTTCCTATCCCATCTTTTGGCCGTTCCTTTAGTACAATTCTGCGCTGCTTTTTTAATTGAGTGTTTGTATTTACACTTTATTCACCATTTTATTCTAGGACATGGAAGATTGCACCTGACGAATAGATGGCAGGTGCTAAATAAACACTTGTTAATGAATGAATGGTGTGGTGTACGGCCACACGGTGTCGCTGCTGCCGCTGAAAACTGGAGTCGTGGCTGCTCCCAGAACAAAAGATCTGGGCTAACTTGCCCCCAGATAATCATGAGAAACTGGTGGTTGGAGAGATAAGAACAGTCTCTGCACTGTGGGCGCCTTCTTGCTCTGTCCCCACGTAGCTTTTCCTCGGTGTGTGAACAAAAAACAGAAATAGACCTCTGTGTTGTCTGTTGTAACTGATGTGCTAATCTTGATTCTAAGGGCGGGGTGTTCATGACCTCATGGAATCTCAATTTTATCCCAAAAGCTCTAAATACCATCGTATTGGTGGGAGTTAAGTCTTCAACATTCGAATTTAAGGGGACGCATTCCATCCATAGGAGTCCCTTTCCAGGGGACTTCAAGAATAGAAAAATTATGTTGCTTTAATCCTAGAAAAAAGACTTCCTCCGTCTCCACCCACAGTGTGTGTGATTCATCTTTCAGAGGCATCTCTCTCCTGTCCAAACTCAAGAATGGACCAAGGGTGCAAAAAAGAAAACGAACAACATCATTTTTGTTAGATTTCGTAGGCTACATCATAAAACTCACATACAAAAATGCACTGGAAAAAAAGAAATTTTAAAATTTATATAGCCATTCATACTCATTAATCAAAAGACGTGTTTTGTTTTTTTTTTGTTTGTTTGTTTTTTGTTTTTACTCAGGGTACTTAGCACACCTAATGCTCTAAAGGCTATGTAGTATGCCATGTCCACAAGTACCTGCTGAGTGTGATTTGGAAACCTAATTCACATGCTTTTTAGAAAACAAATCTTCTAAGTAATGGTACATACATGAATCTACTCAAAGTGCTCCGAATATTTTCTTGTGCTTTTATAAAGAATTCCATCTAGTCTTTTCTCTCAGGGATCTCATGACACTGGCCTGCTCAACTTACTGAGGACCTGAAATGCATCGACCCTTTTAAAATGGGTCAGCCTGTTGCCATGTTTTCCTGAAGAATTTTATTTATTCTTGTGATATGTAAGTTCTCACATGCAAGTGTAATGAGGAAAAAATGTGTCCCCCATCTGGACCCCTAGTCTTTTTCTTTTTTTCTTTGAAACATTTGTTTTTGTAACTTGAGAACACTCAGAGGAGAGGAGACATCCTGCCATCCTTTGATTCTAACTGAGGAATAGCGGAACCGGCTGACACATCCCGTAGCTGAGCCGCAGCTTCCGCCAACAAACCATTTGTGTTTACCGTGAAATTAACCTAGTTGCCAAAATGCTAAGCTACCTAGCAAGTGATTCGTGATAATCACTGTGAGCAAAGAGGTTAATGGATATTGTTTTTTTTGTTTGTTTTTTTTTTTTTTTTTTTTTTTTTTTTTTGTAATTTCATTTTTTCCAGGTTTCCTGTAGGCCCAGCACAGGGCTTCAAACGGTGGGATAAAAACACCGTATGTTATCAGTAAGGTCTTCGATCAGGAACTGAAATGCCACGGACAACACATGATGTACGTCTGCGGGAATTCATAGATCTATAATCCATCGCATCACCTACCTTCCTGAGGGGCTTTATTTGTAATTGGCACACTGATCGGAATTCTTACAGAAACTAGAACGCAGGAAACAGTATAGTATAGTAGTTTAGTGCATGAGTCACACAAACCAAGATTTCATCCCCACTCGGAGAAAGGGGTGAAGACGAGACGAAGCACCCACTCTAGCCAGTCAAGAATTTTTCTCCTACACCCCGGGTAACACTGTGACATTTAACAACAAACACAACTGGCTGTATTCATGGGCCAGAGTAGGAATCTGAGATGATTTGCTCAAAAAAGTTAGCGAGATTTCATGTGACTTAGAAAAATTCAACGTGATAGAAAGTTTTCAATACTAAATGAGCTGACAAATTTAAGCTTAGGTTCTAAACCTACCTCTTAAAAGAATTCAGCCAAAATCAATGTTAAAATAATGAATTGCATGCTTATTTAAACTCTTCAAGCTTTGGTCCCTTCATCTGTAAAATGGCAATAATCACTGTGCCTTCGAAGACTGCTGGATTAAAATGGCTTATCTCAATACATTTTACAAGGTGGGCAATTACTAAATAGTAGCCCAAATTATTAAGTCTATGTTGCTTTCCAAATATAGAAGTCACTGAACAAAATGGAACAGAAGCATCAGTGACAGGCCAGGCAATGGTATAAATTCAATTTCCAGGCCTCTCAGCTAAAATTGTAATCAGAAACAAGTTCAAGTTCAGTTTCCTCAGGAAGCAGTTACACTGAGGACCAACTATTTTCTCACACACACAAGATCTTAAATCGCGCTCCATTGCTTCATGGATATATGTGTTGCCATGGACAGATAACAACCTCCTTATGATTACGCCTACAATTTTATTCTTCACTCACTATCCTCCATCAAGAACTAGCTACTTTGCACGGAAGCCCTAAAGAAATTCTTACTGATTGAAACTCATCAAGCTCCCTTCGCCTTTCCATATTTGCACCAACTTTGCAAATCAATTGTTTAATTTTTTCCGAAGTAGACGTCCTGCCCTTTGGTCCTGAAGAGATTCAGAGTGAGGGTGTTTATATTAAGAAACAAATATTGAGAGGGAATGTTAACTCCTTGAACAGTAAATAAACTAATCCTTCAACAGAAAACATTATTTCTGAGACTCAGTTTCCGTTTATATAAAATGAGGTATTGATACACACCCAGGCAGTTTTTTGTGAATATTTAATATGTATACCCTAAACGGTAAGAGCTTTGAAGTGAGGAATAAGGTAATATGGCTAAACGGTCTTCACTCTTGAACATGATGCTATACTGCAGTCAATACTACTTTTTTTTTTTTGTTTTTGAGTTGGAGTCTTGCTCTGTCAACCAAGCTGGAGCACAATAGTGTCATCACAACTTACTGCAGCCTCAACCTCCTGCCTCACCCTTTCTAGTAGCTGAGACTGGAGGTGTGCACCACCATGCCCAGCTAATTTTACTTTTTGTAGAGACATGGTTTTGCTATGTTGACCAGGCTAGTCTCAAATTCTTGGGCTCAAGTGATCCTTCTTCCTCAGCACCTCAAAGTGCTGAGATTGTAGACATGGGCCACAGTACCTGGCCCAAAAATAATTTTTAAAAAGGGAAGCTTTATATTGTATTATTTTTTTCTGGACAATGCCTTATGTTCCTTAAACAGAAGTCTATCTAAATAATAAAATGTGAAGCTTTCCTCTCACTGGCGGAGAAGCAGAGTCTCCAGGAGTTGTCTCCTGGGTTGGCTCAGGGTGACAGAGGCATGCACAGGCCTACTGGGCGGGACGAACCACATCATGTGCTTTCCAGCACGTTGCTTAGTTTTTCTACCCTAGGAGGCCTCAAGAGATTGTAAACGTTTTAAGATTGAGACACAATTTTTTCAGTCATGTCTGCCCCTGGCCTAAAAATGTCTGGTAAGTCCAGTCCTGGAATCCCAAAGGACATCTTAGAATGCCAAGTACGTCGATATTAACACACTCCCACCCTATAAAATGGGCTGAGGGTCTTCTATGTGCCAGACCCTGTGATTCTTTCACTAGGGACTAGAGACATGAATGAATGTGCTTCCTCCTTCTCAGCTTGGTCCTCCTCAGCATGTGCGCGAGGGTGGTCCTCCAGCTCCCAGCAAGGACTGGGGCAGCCCAAAGCACATCTGCTAACTCCGCCCTGAGCACACATGGTATACCCTAGAGTCACAAATCAATACTGTGATTCCCTCATGGACAAAGATGGGAGCACACTGCCTTAGGGTAAGGAGGCACATTAAGAGGTGACTAGAGGCACAGGCCCCATGGTCAGACAGGCTTGAGGTTGATTCTGCTGGTGATTAGTTAGACAATGTGTCCATATTACTTAACTCTAAAGGACTTCAGTCTTCTCACTTAAAAAACAGGAAGAATGAAACCAATGAGGTCATTCCTGTGTCTTGAAGCCAACAACCCTGGACTATCCTTGGCCCTCAATACCTGTTAGCTGTTTGGGGCAGGTCAATATTATCCTTCTCTTGCTTCCAATTAAAGTTTTCATTGCCATTACATTCCCAGTTGGGTAAAGAAGACTTAGGCAGTAACTTTTGTAAATGCTTTGGCCCACACTCAAAGTCATACTAATAAGTACATTTTTAAAAATCGATAGCAAATGCAATTTTTTTAGCAAATGCTTTTTTGAGTTTCTAGGTTAAATTTATTAATAGTTCTACATATGATTTTCTACCCTGTTCTTCTGTAGAGAGTAGACAGCCCAGAGTCCCATTTTCCTGCTTCCCATCACTATGGCTACAGGATTAGGTTCGAAAATCTGCTTTTGCTGAAATATCACACATCCCTGAACAAAAATAACTTCAAATGTTTAAACTTATGTCACATAGTATTTTCTTAAGGGAGATTATGTGGGTTAAAACAATTTACTCCCCAATTAAAATCATTACGTTCTCCACCAGAGTTGAATGAACTATCTTCTTACATTAGAGATACAGTTGAGTCTCACGTTTCACATCCTGCCAAACTCAGAATTCCATTACAGTGGATGCTGAGGTTGGATGTACTCTGTTGCATCAACTTCTTCTTTTTGTGTGGGCAACACCAGTGCTAAGGAGAAGATTCCTCTGCCCTTCAACCTTGGTGGAACTGCCAATGAAGCTGTTTTCTCATTTGGCCATGGTTGGGATCTATCTAACTGTGATTCATCTTAACTCGTCTTTCTCCTGGAGGCTGGGTCCTGGAGCCATCAGTGCAAGGAGAGATGTAGCACCCTCAGATCAGCTGCCCCACCCCAGTCTGGTCCTCAGAGCTGGTTTTGGTGGTTCCAAAGCAGTTCCAGCATGTTATGTGCCACCCCATAACCCTCCAGTAAATCCCCTAGCCACCTGCCTCTCTTAGAAGGCATTTCCACCTAGAGAACCCAAACTGCTGCAGCCATGCTCGGGGTCACAGAGCATTGCATTATGTTGGGTGGCAGAACATCGCATTATGTTGTTTTGGGAAAACTGGTTGCTTTATTGTGGAAAGGTGGGTGGTGGTTTCTTAATGATGACAATGGTCTATCTTTCACGTTAGTTCCATTCTCACAGAAAAGGTCAAGATATTTACACAATTTCTGCCTGAATGTGTCTACACTATTTTGGAATATAGTGAAAAACAAAGTATCCTTATCCTTTGCAGCATTAGCAATTTGCATAAGTAAAATAGAGTTGAATTAGTAAGTCATAACAAAAAATAATGCACTTTTAAATCCAAACCTCTTTTACCAGTGATTTCTTAAAAATACATAAGGCGTGTTCTGTGTTTTCAAGAAGTCCCACATATTTCTTGACAAGAAAATCATGCATTTTTATTACTCAATTAAGCTTTAAATAAAGCTTCTTAAATACTAAACCAAATGTTGATTGTTATTTTTCTATCTAAAAGTAAAATAAACATTATTTAATCCCAGATTTCCAAATAAACAAGGCCACTGAGGTTCCCATAACTGTGATTTTGACAACCGGCTGCAGAGCGTAGCTTGTGCTAACCTGTTTCATGAGGGGCTGGCAGCCTTTTCACTGGGAAACCTCTGATTGCTTTGACCCTTATCACCTTGTACAAGTTAAACTTCTGGTGTTGCTGCATCTTTGCTAAAAAGGAAACTCCTGCATTCTGGCTATGCCCCATTTTGCAGGCATCACAGTTGAGCACCTTTGCCTGCTCTGATCCCTGTAGACTTCAAGATTCACTTGTGAACTTATTTCCACATCTCAGATAACAATCTAAAATAAGATGAAATGACACAAAGCCTGCAGCAAGAATCTGGAAACTAACCTGATTGTGTAGTGTCCTCTTAGAAGCCTGTGCCTCCTGCCTTTTTATTTTATCTTTTAGCTCAAAATGAACTCCTTTCACACTGAGGATGGCTATCCAATCTCATTCCCAGTGCCTTTCAACAAGTACTCCCCTTATACACTCCTGGCTCCCATCCCCTAATGTAAATGTACCACAATTTAAAAAATGCAGTTGATGCCAATGTTGCTCTTCCTTTTTTCTGTGCCCTTTGAATTTAATTTTTTCTTATAATAAAAGTGACAGCCAAAAATATCCATACTATCTATTTTTTTATTTGGTGTCTATGTGAGGGCGTAGCATGGGGTAGCATTTTTTAAAATATTGAGTTATGTATTCATTCAGGCGCATGTTACTGTAAAGAAAATAGTTTAAAATTATTTTTCCATTACCAACTTCTGACAATTATACCTTCTAAATACCCTTTAAGTCTGTTCAATTATTTCCAGCCAACGTCTCAGTGAAAACCCATCTGACTGACTAGTGTTATTTCTTAGTCTTTTAATGAAGCTACCCCTATGGATTTGATCGCTGAATTACTTATCCTCTACATAGAATCCTCTAAACCTGTGTTTCAATGAACCCTAGCTTCACTGATGGCCCTACAGCTTGTCTTCTTAAACAAATGAAATCCTGATCGTGAACTCTCCAGTCAAACAAAGTCCATGACTTGTAGCACACTAGAATAGAATTTGACACCCTTCATATACACCACAGGGCCCTAAATAATCTCACCACAATTCATTCCCTTTACCTGCTGTAACCCCCTGGAACATATTTCACGCCTTTGCCTATTTTTCCTTCAGTTCTCACCTTCGAGTAGCAGGTCCTCAGGGAAACCCTTCCCACTTAAGTACTTGCTAACCCCATGTTAAACTTCCTCATAGCACTTTATTATCTCAGTCACTACATCTCCAACTGCAGAAGTCGCTTCATGCAGTGAGGATGTGTCTTTGAATGTCTGTGCCCCCAGGAGGGCAGGGTCTCTAGTGCACCACTCTATGTCCATGCTTAGCACAAAAGATGGACACAGCGGACCCTAAATACCCGGAACACAAGTTTAGAGGATTTCTATGTAGAGGAGAAATAATTCAATGATCAAAATCATTACAAATGGTATTTCTTCCATCCAGATAAGAAATGGGATTTGGAGTGATTTTTTTTTTCTTTTTTTTTTTTTGAGACGGAGTCTCGCTCTGTCGCCCAGGCTGGAGTGCAGTGGCGTGATCTCAGATGTCTGCTCACTACAAGCTCCACCTCCTGGGTTCACGCCATTCTCCTGTCTCAGCCTCCCAAGTATGGGGTGATTTTTAAGTGCAAAAAAAGAGAGAAAGATGGAGGCAGAATGCAAGGCATAAAGACAACATCGTGAAGCTATTTTATACTGTCCTACCAATTGACCAGATTCAGTATAAGTTTTCAAACGGATTAACATGCCAACAGTGCTTTAAAGTAAATGAGACCAATTCATCTGCCCCTTGTTTTAATACCTTTTGACTTTGTGAAATGAAAAAGGGTAAATTAACCTTTATCACCAGGCAGAATTTTTGCATCATCATGAATTCTCAGAATGCTCTAAGAATTATATGTCTTTCTTAGCATATATCCACCAAATTAGACATCCTTCTCAGAATGGTATATTAAAAACTTTAAATAAAAGAATTGTGATTTTTGATGGAAATTAGATAAGAAATTTGCCAATCTTTATAAACATCATCTTCTGTGAATGCTTTACAGTGAAGGGCAGACTGGAAAATTCATAGTAGTGTAATTACAAGTGATTAGTAAACATGAAAATTTGCAACCTCCCTAAGTAATCAAAGAGCTGTAAATGAGAGAAGAAAACACTTCCCCCACCCAGCAAATGAGAAAAGGATAAAATGTATCATAATACTTCAAGCTATAATAGGACTATTGTTGTGAGCATAAATTAGCAGAGACTTCCTGAGAGCAATTTTCATATTTATTAAGTATCTTAAAAATGTTCTTAACTAGTCTTTCCCCTTCTAGTAAGTTGTCTTGAAAAAACTCAGAAATGTTAATGAATGTATCTACAAATAAACCAGACTACTGCTAGTTCATGAGGCATCTTTGTGTGTTTGGAAATAGATTCCCTCCTTCCAGGTTCACAGACCCCAATCCAGGGCTCACTCTGCTGTGAGTGGAGCCCACTCTGCCCAGTTGAGTGGCTCTCCTGCAGGGCACAATCTGAACATCCCTGGATGGAAAGATGGTAATTTATTCATTTATAAAGTTGGAGGAAACCTTCATTCACCAACGACATGTGACTATTAGTGAAGTCACTAGGTAAATTAGATTAAAGCATCAGGATGAAATATTAAAGTCATTAAAATGTATGTTCTAAAACTTTTTCTGACCCAGAAAAAAAGATCAATATATAACATTGCATGAAAAGTCAAAGTTTAAAATTTTATGTGTAGTGAAGGCACTAACTTGTTAAAATGCAAAGGAAACAGACTAGAATGGCAGAGGTTTTATCTGAGTACACGGGTCAGGGGTAGTTTTTTCCTTTCTTGCCATGAGGTCTTAGAATCCGGAACATGTTCACTGTGGAAAATCAGACAAATTGAGCAGTTGGAAAAAGGAGAGGAGGGAGAGTGCTTGCATGGAAGCCTCTGCTCTGGGCTGAGGAGGACATGGCAGAGCGATTGGCTATTAGGAGAGTCAGGAAAGGGGAGATCACCAGCTCAGGTATTTTCTTACCTAGTCTCATGAACTAGGTCTGAATTTCATGGTAAAGGCTCTTGGCTAAATCTGAAATTGCTGTACTA
The DNA here is from genome assembly GCF_000001405.40 of Homo sapiens. NCBI lineage: Eukaryota > Metazoa > Chordata > Mammalia > Primates > Hominidae > Homo > Homo sapiens. Next base: position 4,243,334 of record NC_000008.11, read on the forward strand.
AAGCTTTGAAAACCTATGCAATGCCGAGAGGGGCCCAAAAAACAGCTTGACTTGGAGAGAATGACTCATCCTCTACTGACCACTTTGCTCCTTGTTCCCCTGTAACTGACACTCTTCCCAGATTCGGCTTCTAGCCAGTATGTCTACTCAAAACAGAAACTTTCTAATTTTAAACAGCAGGCTTATCTTTGTAACCAGAGAAATGGGGAAATTACCCCTAAGCAAGCATATGAGTAAATAAGTTATGCAAGGAGAGATGTCTCCATGACTATTTCCTTAACCACCGAAAACACAGAAAATTATTACAGTTTCTTAAAACACATGTGTGATATTGCAACTTAATTTTTGATTAAATTTCCATCTCATGGTATCGTACATCCATAATCTGAGTCCACAAAAAAGAACACTCATTTTGCCGTGTCATCATTCTAGTATTCAACGAGGAAAGAAAGAAAAGCAAATCATGACAAGGTCATCTTTACAATGAAACAAAGATGTATAAGAAAACAGAGTAGGGACTGTGTTATTGCCTTGATTTGTGGTTCCTGTTTTCTCCCATAAACACATTAGGTTAGCAGAGAGTTTGCTTCCCAAAGTGACTTCCTCCAACTACAATCATCAGTAGCAGGTGGGAACGGGTTACAGTGGCAGAATTTCAGTCCCTGCCATGGAGTGGGAAGCTGCATTTTAACCTGGCTGCAGGCTCTTTGTTTTTATGTTAAAGTGCAGGTAGTCCTGTTGTGGACAGCTCTGTGCATCTGAAGATGACTACTGGGTGCTGTGCGGATGAGTTTCGCGCAGCACAAGTAGATTTGTGCTACAGGCAGCTCTGCAAGTTTCTGGTAGAACCGTTTAGGCTTAGCTGAGCTAGACCAAGCAGCAGCAACAGTAACAGCTAGGCTTGAAACGTTCCACAGAGCACAGGGGCACTGAGAGCAGGCCCCCGGGTCTTCGGGAAACACTATGCAGTCTTGTCTCCATGCCTGAAACTTTGCCTGGAGCTCCAAGAACTGGGATTTTAATAGGTAGAAAGACCTAGAAACGGATGTTTTTATGTTAATAGATCTTCATAAAACTAGTAGAAAAGCAGGCCTGTATATTTTTGTCAAATAATTTTTTAAAAAGCCAAAGTTATAAATGTATGATTTTGGATAACCTAAAAATAGTTTGAAGAGTGTTAGCAAGTCAAATAAAATTTTCTTTCTTTTTTCTTATCAGGTTTAATGGGAAAATACTGCGTAAATATCAACTATTGTAGATCTGTCTCCCAGAAAAACAGTGCACTGAACATGACAAATTTCTTCAAAACTGATCCAAGTTATTACATGACAGATTTAAATTGTGTTATTTTCACACATCATTCCTCTATGTCTAGAAAACTCAGTTACCTCAATGGAATAATTTTTTTACAGTGAAGAGTTTTGCTACTTAAAGAAAAAGAGAAGGGATATTTTATACGTATGTATAAAATATGTGTATATATGTATGTATATGTTCTGACCTCCTTCTGGTGTCATTGTAACAAGATCCCCTAGGGATATTAAACTCCTGATAGATATAATGGAGATAACAACATTTAAATCTTCCAATTTGTCATCACCATTGCTTGAAAACAAATAAACTTTAAAATAACCAAAAGCCTGGAGTGGAAGTAAATCGACAAACATCAAAAAGAATCACATACACATTTAAACTATAAAACCACCATTCATTAGAAAATGTGTATTATAGCTATTTTGCCAACCTGTCTGGAATGAATAACGACCCTCAAGATTTTCAATATTCACTTCACACAGAATGTTCCATGGAAATGCCTGGGTTCAGAATCTCATTCCCCATCTTATTAGTGGCATGCTGTCAAACAAGTAACTTACCACTGGTTTTCTGAACTCTAAATCGGATGAAATCAAGCACCTGCATTACGCAATGAATTATATAACTCTACATATGTTAACACAACAAACACTGCATAAAAGTATGTACTTGGGCTTGTGAGGCTGCAGAGGGTTGGGGTGGGAGGAAAGATTGCAAGTACCCAGCCTGCCTTTTCTGACAGCCTGATCCACACTCTGATGATGCAAAGGGAGGAGGAGGCAGGTTAGGTGGTGCTCAACACAATCACGAGACACCCAACTCAGCAAACAAAAACTCTTCATGAAGAGCCTAAGGTTGGATGTTTCCCAATCCATGGTCTCTCCATGCTGGGATGCTAAACATGAGGTGTGTAGAGGAAATGTGAGTTCACAATCGATCAGCTGGTCAACAGGTTCCTCTGGTCAACAATGTCATAATCAAACCAAGGAAATCTTGAATTCAGATAACCAATCTACCCCATATGAATGACAATTTAAATTATCCTATGTGAGGTAATTTTTTCAAGTGCTCTAAGATATACACTTCTTGGTGACTAAGTCAGGCCGTATCACCCAACTCTGTTTTCATATTTCCTATTTTCTTAACAAAATTAGGCAAAAAATTATTGACAAGTGTGCACAATCACATCATTACATAATCACATAATCTTTGAACATAGGACATCTCACAGGGTATACTTTTCATACATGGTGCTTTAGCTAAGGCGTTTTCTCAACTCATTAAAATGACTTTTCCTTCTAAACAATACAATCTATCAGGGCCGTGGACAGGGATGGTCTCATGAACATGCAACCTAGGTCAGTTATTTGTTGTTGTTGTTTGATTTTTAACTTTTAAGTTTAGTGGTAGAAGTGCAGGTTTGTTACTTAAGTAAACTTATGTCATGGGAGTTTGTTGTACAGATTATTTGATCACCCAGATATTAAGCCTAGTACCCATTATTTTCCTGATCCCCTCTTTCTTCCAATATTCCATCCTCCAAAAGGCCCCAGTGTGTGTTGTTCCCCCAGTGTGTTCATGAGCTCTCATCATTTAGATCTTACTTATACATGATAACTTGTGCTATTTGGTTTTCTGTTCCTGGGTTAGTTTGCTTAGCATATTGGCCTCCACCTCCATCCACGTCCTTGCAAAGGACACGGTCAGTCCTTAGAAGAGTAGTTCTTGATAAAATATTCTGCAGCTGCTGTTGTGAAGTTCTTAATAAGTTGTAGAGAAAGGGCACTCCATTTTCTTCGTATGGTACCTCAATTATCAATTGGTCTTGTTACAGAGATAAGAGTTTTTAAAGAAAATTGTAAGACCCTTGTGAAAATTACTTTTTTTACTTAAGATGTTTCATGAGGGTTTTCTTTAAAATAATTATTTGCAATTCTCCTGTAGAATTTGATATGATGGGTCTAGCTTTGTTCAGCAGAAATGAATTTCTGCAAATGCTGAGGCAAGCAAAAGAAACAAAAAACAACTTAACCCATTTTTCCTTAATTTTTCATTGTTTTTTAATTTATCATTGGAATAATGATTGTATTTATTTAAATAAAGAAAACAGGATCAAGAAGATTTTTTAAGACATTTGAAATGTAAAGAAATGTAGTATAGGACATTTGACTTGTAAATAAATGTTCATAGAATTTAGAGCTGAACACTCAAATAATCTACAAAGTGACTTTTTAAACACTTTTTCCGTGCATAAATGTTTCTTCAAAAAATCTTTGTAAGAGAGAATGTAGATAATATTGAAAACTATGGAAACACTTTAGACGAAGTAGAAATTTATTGTATTATTTATAAAACACTCAGCGCCCCATATGTGCTAAATATCATTCAAAACCTTAAAATATAAAGTGAAGAAGACATCCAAGGGCTACCCCATGGGTTGTACGGTCTAGTGAAGAAAACGCCAATAAAAGGAAAGGAAATCACACCGTCCTCAATATTGCTTTCTTTTCCGCATCTTTTTTATGCTCTATAACACAGTTTGCATAGCATTTCTCTAGAACAATTCCTGGAACAGCGAGAAAGGGACCCTCAAGTAACTATTGAGTACAATGACCAAAGACAAAATCACTTAGATAATCAATGGGTGGTCAATTGTCTTCTCTACCACACTGCCCTGTCATACCACATAGAGTGCTGCTGGGTGTGGACATCTCTTACGAGTAAGGTAGAGTCAGTTGTAGAATTGGTTGCATCTCCAGCTTGCAGTTCTCCTGCTGTGTCACTCAGACACTGAAGAGCAGCCTCATGAAAAATGCTTTCTATCTCAATATTTATGCAGGCTCATGTTTTCTTTCGGTGTAGAAATTTACTTTTTCTTATTAGTACCCGAAGAATCAAAGGCTTTTAAGAATTCCGCATAATACCACCATTCTTGTTAAATGGCCCTGCATTACATAATTACAAGGAGAAGAGCAGAGGTAGATTTCAAGTAAGTTATCACCATTCAACATGTGAAATTAATTTTGTAATGTATGAGCTTCTGCATTTTTATTTTGGTACACATACTATAACGCCCTTTTGAAAATGTATCATCAACTGCTGATTTGGAAGCCTACAACTTTAAAATAGAATCTGAAAAAAGTACTGTGGGAGCCAAAGCAAGTGCTTAAGTTCACTTTGTGACATTATTAATAAATTCTATCACATCGTTATAGAAATACAATGTACAAATTTTTCTTGAGGGATAAATTTTCACCCAGATATTAATGTGATGTAGGTACATTAATCAAATATTCATAATTTTTTGTCTTCTTTTGGAAATTGCTTCAACCAACCTTCAGTTTAAGTTGGCTCTCCATAATTGTATATAGATTTTTCATTTAGAGAAGTTATTTATGATCATTTGAATGAATGGAAATTGTTAAGGAACTTTCTTCTGAAATTATTTTTGTGTATATTTCCAGTTTATTTTTTTTAAACAAATGGGCTATTTTGTAATTAGAAGAAAAAAATTGCTTTGAAACTTGAAGCCCTGGAAATTTCATGACATGACATGACATGCCATTTCCAACAGCAGACAGTTGGCAGGACTAGTCCAGGAACATTCAAGTCTTAATTTCTAGTCCACTATTCTTTATACAAACAATCTGAATTTATATACTAATCAATCAATGCATGAAAGTTTCTCCCAGCCAAACACGCTTTTACCATCTCATCCCTTGGTGAGTGCTGGTTTGCTGGTGAAACTATCATGGCGCTTATAAAAGAAGAGAGCCCGTCCACTTGAACATAAGATCCTAATTAAAAGTAAAAAGGTCAGTCGTTACTTACGAATACTTTTGAACTATTCATTAATATGTCAACTTCTAACAGGAGGATTTTAGGTTTTGCCATAGACACATTCTATTTCTCTTTGGCTAACTCTCTCACCTCCTTCAAATCTGTGTTCAAATATGAACTTCTCGAAAAGACCTTTTCTGATCACTTCATTTTACACCATTAAGGACCACCCACCATCAGCCTCCTGTCCTGCCCTAGACATTACCAACACTTGTATCCTGCTCTTCTTTTTGGGTGATCTCTATCAACTGACATTACATTACACTTATTAAGCGCATGGTTTACTGTCAGTTTTCCTCCTCTGAATGGAAAAATCTTTGCCTAATTTGGTGACTGATGTATCCCAATAGCCAAAAACAATTGCTAACTCTCAAAAGTCACTCAACAGTTTTCTGTTGGAAAAAAAAATCCATTTAGACCATATTGAGAATGCCTATTTAATGCATGTAGATGCATAATACCATAATGCTACTTTTAATATCATAATTCAAAACATAAACAAACACTAGACCATGTATTTAATGAACTTACAACAGTGCCTGGCATATGCTACTCAATGAATTTACTATTAATCTTCCTTGCTGTTAGGCACTCATGATCACCACTACAGACTTCTCAACCTTTCCCCAGTTACACCAAACTTTCGTGGGAAAATATAATCTTAACATATATTAAGAGAATGATAGACTACTTGAAGCTTGATAGTGTCACCAGGAGATTAGGAGGAATTTATGGTAACATACATAGAAAAGGGCAAACATTTCTCTTTTATTATCTTGTCTTTTACTTCTAAAGTTATGGAAGGTAGGATGAAGATGACCTGGCAAAGCCACTTGTTTCTAAGAGGATGGAATAAAGCGGTGTTCAGTCTACGGATGTTTCATGTAGCATATTCCACAGAAAACAACTTTTGCAAAGTAAACTAATAGTGTTAGTGAAAAAGGATCCTATAATCACAACCATGGAGACAGTGCGTGATGTAAACAGGGTTAAACATTTTATTTAATGCGGAAGGATGTAGAGAGCTCCTCTACTGACGTGCACTGTGACTCTCAGGGAGACCTGAGGAGCGGATCTAACCATCTTAGCTTGAAGCTGTGTATTGAGAGAATGGTGTTAAGAAATGTTTTCTCTGCTCAACACAGTGTGGAACGTGGCTCTAGGCTTGAGAGCTGCCAGCTCTCTTCTCCTACCGCTGTTGTAGCGAAATAAAGCTGGAAGACTTGGCCTCAGCAGAAGTAGCTCAGTACTGGAGAACAAAGTCTATTAATGGGGGAATTAATGGGGCACTTGGGGAAATGAAGAACACAGTGTCAGTTTAGAAATTCTTCTAAATGGTGCTGTGGTTTGAATGTGTCCCCTGACCCCCGGAATTCTTGAGTTGGCAACTAAATCCCCAATGAGGCAGTGCTAGAAGCTGGGAGCTCCTGGGAAGTGTTTAGGTTATGAGGGCTTTGCACTTATGAATGAATTAATGCCCATATAAAGAGGAGCTGGGACCTACTGGGAAGTGTTTAGGTCATAAGGGCTCTGTACCCATGAATAAATTGATGCCCCAATAAAGAGGGCTCTCAGAGTGGGCTACCCCTCTTTGCCCTTCTGCCATGGGATGACTCAGCAAGAAAGCCCCTGATCAACTACCAGTGACTTCATTTTGAGCTTCTCAGCCTCTAGAACTGTGAACCAATACATTTCTTTTCTTTACAAAGTACCTGGTCTGTAGTATTTTGTTACAACAACACAAATGTACTAAGACAACCTGCAAGAACAAAAAGCCTCTCTAGTGATATAAATAGCCCAGCTCAGCTTAGGAGTCCTGGTGGAATTTTCCATAGCTGTGCAAGCTATGAAGACAGAATGTGTGTCCCCTAATGTGACTCTGTGCATAGTGTCCCCAAGATAAGATGCTGGTTGAGGATCCAATATTGTAGCCACTGCTCCCTGGGGAACATGCGTAATACATGAGTGATATTTGGGTCCACGTGACTTGGTATTCTGAGTGGTGTAATGACTCTTGGTGGAATTATATGTATATCGCCCATGAAGTCAACCCTCAAAAGTTTAGAATGGAAAGCTAATTTTCTTTTAATAAACTCATGTACGATTATAATTGATAGGTCTACCAAAATAGTACAGCAGTTCCTTCCACACTGTATTAGATACTATTGTAATTATCAGTTATAATTTTATGTCTCAGCAAATATTGCCTTTTCAGAAGTCCCTTCCTTGAGCAAATCTAAAGAAAGTTTGCAAAGAAAAACTGTAAATATGTATAAATATGCCAGTAACTCAAAAATTACTTTTCTCTGTTGAAAGGCTTAATTGTACTGGTTGAAATGTTTTTTAGAATATGTCAACACCTTGTCACTATTTACAGGGTATTCCTACTACCCTGATGAAAAGAGCACCTCTTAAACAATAAGGTCTTAGTCACGGCTGAGCTCTTTTCTTCAGATGACACGTTTCCCTGAATGTTACTAGGTGAATTGATTAGACACTGATATTTCCTAAATCACAGTTAATGACAAGCATATTTTTAGATACTGGACACAAATTCAAGCCAGTAATCTGCAGGTGCTTGTGAAATGTTGTAGTCACATTTTCCCTGCCAAATTTCTGAAGGCTACCTATAAATCATTTTTTTAAAAGAGAAAAGTATAAAGGTATACAAGGCCAATGAAGAAAGGAATATAATAGAAAGTGAACAAGTTTACAATAAATAAAACCTATAACAGCTAACAATATATGTTTCCCTCACCAATCACATGGGTATATGGAAGGCTTTTTAAAAAAAATGTTAAAAAGTACTGTATTACAAGAATGTCATAGTATTTGCATTATGCCACATTTAATAAAATGTAATTTAAGAGTTTGGAAGGTTTTATTTAAAAGCTTTGATGTCCTCCTATAAAGTTCTTGTATTTTGAGCAATAACATGAGACAAGACCCAAAAGGCAATTAAGGCCCCTACACCATGCAGTGTTGTAGGAGCACATATTAGAAGACAAAGGACAAGATAGTTATATCAAAATAAATAGCCTAAATGATCTCTAAGCAATTTAATCAGGGCAGTATCCCACAGGTGACTCTATCCCAACCCAAAAGTAAATGAGACAGGTTTCATGTCTGGATATTACACACTGGCAGCTGAATCATGACACTTTTCTCATTTAATAGTCTGGGATTGGTGGGGAGCAAAGACCTTGGACAGTTAAATGTATGTGTACCTAGTCCTGATGAGACGTCACAGTTGTGACATCTCACAAGTGTGTGTGAGAGTGATGCAGGGATGGAGAGATGGAGGAGGAAAGATGGAGAAGGACAGATGGAGGAGGAGAGATGGAAGAGGAGAGATGCAGGAGGAGAGATGGAGGAGAGAGAGGGTGGAGGAAGAGGGGAAGGGAGGGGAGGGGAGGGGAGGATAATGTGGGAATGGGAAGGGAGGGAAAGAGAGTAGAGGGGAAGAAAGATGTTCAATGGAGGTAAGGAGAAAACAGAGCTAATTACAAGCATAGAGAACTTACGTATTTTTGAGTTGTGTTTACTTGAATTTCTTTAAGCACAGAAGATCATTCCCAGAAATTAAACTGAAACTGATGAACAAAGAAACAGTACAGGTGGTAGAGAACTACTGAAACACACAATTTCAGTTTTGTTCTGTTCTTTCAGGATATATAGAAAGCTGGGGTGGGGAGATGGATAAAAAAGCTTAAAACAAGACAAAGGTAAACAGGCATAGACGTTTTCCTTTCCGTTCCTGGCTTCAGCCTTCTGCCCATCTTTCCTGTGAGTTGTCTTCTGTCATGCACACTCCAACATTTGTGCAACACATATCTCTACAATGAAGAATATGTCATGCTAGCTTTTCTGTCCAATAGACGCTGAAGTTATGTATTGTCTTTTTCCAGTGATCAAAACAAAAACTGAGACTTGGGAAGAAATAAACTCGAGGGGACCTGAATGAGAACTTGAGTTACACTCTAATACATTTCCAGGGCTTTTGAGAAGCCAGAGGCATGTCCTGTTTCCTCAAACACCATAAAATGCTCCTTAGAATTTGACCCTATGACAGAAACTGCTACTTACCTACACAATGTCTACTCTCAGAAATCTTCATTCATTATAGAACCCAAATATAGTCTCCAGAAGTAACACCCAGTTTAAAAATGGAACAGGCTTTTATGTGGAGTTAACCAGTGAAATGCTAACAATATCTCATTGGTTGTATTGGTTGTACAGGAATTATGAGAGCGCTTTTAGATGGGACTGCAGTGGCAGACATACACCACTGACATTTATGCCTCTTCTGTACACTTTCTCCATGCCAAGGATGCACCAGTGATGACTGGAGTTGCAGCAGCCTTCTTGGGACCATGAGTGAAAGGCAAAGAGAATTTCAGGTGCCTTGTTCATGACCAACTTAAGTGGCTGGACCCATGGCAGCAGAACACACCAACTTTTAGACTGCACTTTTCATGACAGCCCAGTAAGCCTATGAGTTTTAAAGCCAATGTCGGATTATCGGTACCAGCAGCTGAACAAAATTTTTCATGTGCCAACGTCTTACGATGAGACTACAAGCTCTTAGAGGAAAAAGATTCTGGCAAAATCTAGGATTATCTGTGGAACTGGATGGATATTGAATGAGTATTTTCTAAAACGATAAACTCATTAGGAAACATTCTATCTGGTCTATTCTCCTCTTCTACGATCCCGCCCCATTCCTAGTTATCATTCATGGCCCAGATAAAATGACATCTCCAAAAAGCTTGATGTTAAGACCCTGAGGCTAAATTAGACATTCTCTCTTCAATATTCATGTTTTGTCTCTTTTTTCCCCTACTATAGAACTTATCACTGTATATTATAATTACGCATTTAAATGCATTTTTTTCATTGAGTCCATAATCTCAAATTTATATATTTTTTTCCCACACCAGAACATAGCGGAACACCATATCAGGACCTAATAAACATTTGTTGTTTAAGTTCTTACTATGCACCAGACACTAGGTTAAGCCCCTGGGATAGAGAAAGAAGAAAAGGATGATGTTATTTAATCTTGGAGAACATTTGATCTGGTATACTTCAAAGCAGTAAAATGAGATGAGAAAGTATCTGTCAAGTAAAAGACTGGAGGGAAGGGGCCAGATCTACTTAATAGACACACAATCGTTTGCAACATACATTGATTCTGCAATATAAAATTTGCCAACTAAGTAATGCTTAACTACACACATCAATTTTCTGGTTGTTCAATTATATACTTGAAAAAAAAAACAGCTGATGAAAATTTTGCCTGTATTTATGTGAAAGACAAATAATCAACACCATTATTATCCTATTGCTAAGGAGGTAACAATACATTTCCTGCTGGTCTTATCTACAAAGAGACACTACGTTCGTTATTTCCTTCCATCTTTTTTTTTTTTTTTTTTTTTTTTTTTGAGATGGAGTCTTGCTCTAGTGCCCAGGCTGGAGTGCAGTGGTGCGATCTCGGCTCACTGCAAGCTCTGCCTCCAGGGTTCATGCCATTCTCCCGCCTCAGCCTCCCAAGTAGCTGGGACTACTGGTGCCCACCACCACGCCTGGCTAATTTTTTTGTGTTTTTAGTAGAGACAGGGTTTCACCGTGTTAGCCAGGGTGGTCTCCATCTCCTGACCTGGTGATCCACCCGCCTTGGCCTCCCAAAGTGATGGGACTGCAGGTGTGAGCCACCACGCCAAGCCTTTCCTTTTATCTTTAGCTTTCCCTCTCTTCACCAAATAAAATCAGCGAACACCTGTGCCAGTTACTTCCCTAAAAACACAGAATCAGGAATTCGATTATTGATAACATTCGTTCTATGGAGAGTCTGCTTGTATAGGGAAGTACAGTAATGGGCTGCATGACGATGTCTCAGTCAACAACGAATGCCACATTCAGCAGTCCCCTTAGATTATAGTGGAGCTGAACAATGATCACTAAGCGACATTGCAGCTGTCATAATGTTGTAGTGCAATTACTTTTTTATACAAATAAATTTCACGTAGCCTAAACGTATGCTGTTTATGAAGACTACAGTAGTGTACAGTCATGTCCTAAGCCTTCACATTCACTCACCACTCACTTGCTGACTCACCCTGGACAACTTCCAGGCCTGCAAGATTTATCTGTGGTAACTGCCGTAGACAGGTGTACCATTCTTACGTTTCACTCCATATTTTTACCGTACCTTTTCCATGTGTAGGTATGGTTATGTATCTTCAGATCTGCAAAGTCTTACCATTGTGTTACAGTTGCCTACAGTCTGCAGGACCCTAACAAGGTGACAGGCTGCACCCCAGAGCCTAGGTGTGCCACAGGCTGTACCATCTAGGTGGTCATATGCACATTCTGTGTTGTTCACACAAACAAAGATGAAATTTCCCGATGAGGCATTTCTCAGAATACATTCCCATCACTAATCAACACATGACTGGAGTGGACTCCATAACCATCGACTTTAACAGAGCACTAAATCCAGAAGATCACTCAGAGTTATTTTCATCCAATCCCCTCGTACCATAGAGGAGTTGATCAAGCAATTCTCAGCCTTTTTTATTATTTTGCTCAAATGGTTTAACCCCTCGGTCTCTCTACTTCTTCCTTTGAGAGTATCAGTTTTTAGCATTAAAAGAGATGATACATAGAGCTTTATCCCATGCTGGAAAGAGCATGATGGGTGCCAACTAATTTTTATAAGCAGCGCATGCAGTCCCTATGGATTTGACTAAAATTTTATCCAGTGAATATTTTCTTTATCATACTCTTCATTTATCAAAGACCTCCTATATTGGTGAACTCCAGGAGGGGAGCTGTTAATATCTGCAGTCATTGTTCTTGAGCCCAGAGCCCAGAGAAAGGTGACTGAGCAAAAAAATTAAAGAGGACGCAATATGCAAACAGTAAAAATTGCTGTTTTCTCACTTACTTTGAAATAATATAAAAATGATTCTATAAAGACTTGTTCATTATAGATCTCATTTGAAATGTGCAATAGCAGTGGATTAACCGGTTAAAAGTCGCAATCACTTTTGTTTTTATCTTCTAGATAGAATTTTTTCTAAGACACAGAAATCTTTGCATAAAGTTGATTATACTTGATTTTTATCAGCAACAACCTCGCACTGCATCATTTATTTTGGACTTTGCTAATATGTATTACGTGAAGAGTTAAGGTAGTTGAATTATCTTAGGCACTGTGAGTTATTTCTACAAAATCTAAGCATAGACTTAAACAAAAGTTCTAAAATTAATATATGTTTAAAGAAAACCCCAGCTCCATTCCATGGCCTCCTCTGGGGCACTGGCTGGCCTTGGCCTTGCCTATCTTTTAAGTTTACTTCACAGACTTTCCTTTCTAACCTCCCTGCTAATGGTAAACCCATGAGGGCAGAGGTAGCCTTTGTTGTGTTCTTGACTTTCTCCCCACAGCCTAACGTGGTGTCCAATAAAGCTTTGGTGAAAATACGACTACGTGCAGGGTAGAGAGGGTTATCTCATAAATACAGCATGGAAAGAACACCACTTTTTAGATGCAACGATTGCATATTTCCTGTAAGTTGTAGGCAAACGTAGGTGAATCCCAGACTACTTTGCTCCCCTGCAAAATGCTTTCTGAGCAGTACTAATCACTATGTAGCCTGCCAGAGCTTTTTATGCCAATTTCCACTTCATTTGTTTGTGATTTGTCCTTACTCAAAGTAAGTGCATTTGTGCTCAAACCAACCTTCTCTCTCTGCTTTGAGTCCCTTAACAGAGGTTTCACGATGCTTATGATGCAGAGTGAAATGTACAACAATTTTGCAGAAAGACCAGCTCTGAATTTCTAGCTCCTACTTTTGGCCTCAAATGAATACATTGCTCTGATTACTACACCCCTCTGAATTTCTCTTTTCTCCTCTGAAAATAGCACAGAATTGTGAAGATTAAAAGAGGTGATATAGAGACATGAATTAACCGAGTACTGGTAAAGGGAGGTTCTCAGTGAGTGTATAAAGAAATAAACAGTTATAAACATGGCAATCAAATGACATCACCATTTACTTTTATCTTTAAAACCCCATGGGAAGGGGTTTACCCTCACTTTAGAGAAAACCACCTTGAGAATCAGTGAGACCCATGAAAGGGGGCGCCCCAAGTCACAGATGGCTAATGTGACTGCAGGAAGAATCCCAGCAGATGGGCCGGGCGTGGTGTGGGGGAAGGAAGGCGCCAGGCACAGTTACGGGCAGTGAGGTACAGGGCAGTGCCCTGCTCTCAAGCAGCTTGCAACAGGGCCAAGCAGTCAGGGCCTGGCATAAAGTCGAGTTATGAGCAAAGAACAGCTATCCCTCCAAGAGTCACCATCGCATAAAGGGGGAGAATCGCTACTGGACGATGTGGTTCAGAATGAGTTTGCAGAATTTATTTTCCTTCCGCTTTCCCTCCGTGGGCTGCTGACCTCTAATCACAGGCTGGAGGTATTCAATCTGGAAGAAGTATGTAACTTCCAAATGATGCAAGCTACTGGGATCAAGCCATCTAGGAAAAGTGCCTGTGTCATCATTTTAAAATTGACAGTCTCTTCTTAGAACTTTTTAATACCACACTCGCCATACTCTATATGAGTCATACTCACCACATTTGTTACCTAGGGCAAATTACTAAAAGTTTGACCTTGAGTTATAAATTATGGTACTACATTTTTAAGCATGAGAGTTTTATTGAAAGAGACTAATACTATTCTGCCATGTATTTTAATTTTATTATACCAGTCTTTCTGTACCCTTTCTGTTATGGCTTATTATTTTACAATACAGTTTTAAATGATAACTATTTTTAACCATCCATTCAAGGGTTGAATAATTTTCTCCTTTAGAAAATTATATATTACCATTTTTCTTCATCTCATGTATAATCATGGATTTGCACTTTTCTCTCTCTTTAGGCTTATTAAGAATTCCTTCCTTAATAGTTTTAAGAATGCATATATTTCTATTAATTTTCATATTTCCTAGCCCTTTTTCAATACAGTTTTGAATAAAGTCCTTTCAATTACATTTTTAAAATAAGAAATAGAGATTTATAAAATTCTCTCCCTGCGGGATAGGAAAATTTGGTGAAAAGTTTGTCCTACTGTTTCAGGAAATACATCACATTGGTTACAGCATAGGTCTCAGGGTGCAGCAGTCTTAGGTATGGATTCTAACGTCAGTGTCACTGGGTACCAAATACCTCTCTGCTTCCGCTTTCCCGTTTGTTAGGCCAAGGATAAAACAGCATCCGCCTCGTAGGAATGCCACTAGCATTTAATGTGCATGAGGTTGCATGCATAGGGAATACAGAAAGTAAGCAGTCATTATTCAGCTACAGCGTACTGATTATTCTGTTGCCTCTGTTGTGACCAGGCTAACAACAACAACCACCACTTTAAAAATAATAGCCTTTTTCAAAATCATTAGAATCTTTGTCTGCTCAAGCTGCCATAAAAGAATATCATAGAATAAGTGGATTAAACAACAGACATTTATTTCTCACAGCTGTGGAAGGGGGAAGCAATCCTCCCACCTCAGCCTCCCTAGTAACTGGGACTACAGGCCCGTGCTACCATTCCCGGCTATTTTTTTCTATTTTTAGTAGAGATGAGGTCTCACCATGTTGTTCAGGCTGGTCTCAAACTCCTGGCCTCAAGCAATCTTCCTGGCTTGGCCTTCCAAAGTTCTGAGATTAAAGGCATGAGCCAGCACACCCTACCCCTTCCTATCTTAAAGGCCTGTCGCTGTGAGCTATTATGGTAAGGAGAAAGGGAGAAAGAGAGTGAGGGAGGAGAGGGAGAAAGAGAGGGAGGGAGGGGAGGGAGAAAGAGAAGGAGGGAAGGAGGGAGGGAAGGAGGGAGGGGAGGATGGAAGGAGGGAGGGAAGGAGGGGAGGATGGAAGGAGGGAGGGAGGGGAGGATGGAAGGAGGGAGAGAGGGAGGGGAGGATGGAAGGACGGAGGGAGGGAGGGACGGAGGGGAGGATGGAAGAATGAAGGGAGGGAGGGAGGGAAGAGTGGAACAATGGAGGGAGGGAGGGAGGGAAGAATGGAAGGAAGGAGGGATGGAGGGAACCCTTGTTCTCATAGGGGCACTCATTCTAACATGAGGGCCCCACCTACCCTCAGAACTTCATCTAAAAGTAATCACCTTCCAGAGGACTTACCTCCAAATACCATCACACTGGGATGAGGGGTGGAACACAGCAATGTATGAGGACACAGACATTTAGTCCTTAACATTTAGAATGTGTAACCAGCTGAATATTTAGAGGCAACTCTAAGGGCACAGCAGCAGAAAGATCAGGAGCCCCACTCCTCATGGACAACGGCTGCAAAAGTCTCATCTCTACCTGGCCGTGCCATGTGTTTTAAACTTTGCTTTGTTCTAAGACTATGTTATAGACAAACTTATTTCATCGACTTAATACACTAAGGTGTATAAATGTCTAACTAAGACTTTAAAAGATTTCCTGCAGAAGAGACGTTTGTTGGAAATGTTGAACTTTAAAGGAAAAATTGTGCAAAGACCCTGCTTTGAGTTTGAACGCTGATGATTTTGATGTAGCATTTACCTCTGAAAGGTCGTACTTTAAATATCAGAGCTAATTAGGCCTACCTCCAAACTATCTCACACACGAAGCTAAGGGCCATGCACTCTAGAAGTCACTTTCCAGCCCACAACGGCTTTCAAATCGCAGAGAGAATGCGGGACACAGACAATCTTTTCCTAAACAAGCAACCCCCCTCCCTGGCTGGCATTTGAAATGAACAGTGTCTTAAGACTGTTTTCCTCCCTCTTCAGGAAAATCACAGCCTGAGAACAGGAAAGCGAGCGGATCTCAAGAAAGGAGAGGACAGGAGGAGCTCCCAAACTAGCTTCATTCATTTCATAATTATACCAGGACCCATCCCAGCGCTATGAAAATGCCTTAAGCTTTAGGCTTAAAAATTAAATTTTCATACATAAAGTTTATGGCCCATCCTTCAACAAAGTTCGAGTTTTTAAAAAATGTCTTTTTTTTTTTGATTTACAAAGTAATACTCTGTTACCGATCAACGATTGTTTTAAAAATAAACTTCAAAACTTTACAAATATAGTCGGAGTCCTTACCCAAAACAATGCCATTCTTCCCCTACTGGCAGTACTGGGTCCTGAAATTTCTATTCATCATGTACACATTTCAATAATTTTGCCACAAATATATACACATACACATGTATTTCATAAACCCTAAGAAGAAGAGATTAAAAATTTAAAATATTCATGTAAATAATATAAAGCTATTATTTGGCACATTACTCATAATATTGTTTTGGAATTCATCCACCTTAAAATATTGCAGCTTAAGTTAATTTATTTTTTGCTACCGCATAGTCTCTTCTGTTGTATAATACTACAAAATTATATCCATTTTGCTAACAAATGTAATTGTTTCTAGTTTTTCACTATTGATAACAGACCTATAAAGCACATCAGTTAACATGTCTTCTTGTGCACACTTTTTTTTTTTTAACACATACTTGAAAGGGAAGTGTTGTCTTAGAGATCACAAACATCCATTTTACTAGAAATTGCTAGACTCTTCAACAAATTGCTAAGTCAATGCACCTGATCTACAGTGGCTAAGTC
The DNA here is from genome assembly GCF_000001405.40 of Homo sapiens. Lineage (NCBI taxonomy): Eukaryota > Metazoa > Chordata > Mammalia > Primates > Hominidae > Homo > Homo sapiens. The sequence continues at coordinate 4,260,156 of NC_000008.11, forward strand.
CCATCAGGTGGCATCCTTGCAAGTATTGATTATTATCAGGTGTTGCCTATCTAATTGGGGTGAACACTACCTCTTTGCTATTTCAACTTGCATTCCGCTTATTACTAGTGAAATTAATGTTTGTATTTGTTCATTGAACATCAATTTCCTCTTTTATGATGTGTCTGTTTTTATTTGCCTGATTTCCCACTGAGTTGCTATTGATTTGTAGGAGTTATTTGTATACTTCGGGTTTTTGTTAACACTAAAAATTATACTTTTATTAATATACTAGTATGTACTTTACTGAGTGTGGGTTGGGGATGTTAGTGAACATTGTTCACCTGAAGTAAATACAAGGCAAACAATGTTAAAGAACACTAGTCAAATGGCAAGCACATAGCCAGAATACCTGGATTTTATTGACTCCTGGAGAAAAGTTTGTAATATTGTTTCTGAAAACACATATTTGTGGTTTTTAGAATTTTGATATTATTCATAAGTCCTTGTAATTGATTTTCATATAATTTCAGTTTTTGCGAGAGGTTAATCCAAAATTCCCATGTCGTTGGTTTATTAATATCTTCTTATAATATTATCATACTTGGTTTAAACAATTTAGGCTAAGTTATATAGGACATACAACTTGAGCACTGTCACCTCTCCTGGAAAATTATTATGTATATTATGACACTCTTTGTCTCCAATAATTGTTTTTTGTTAGAAAGACAAATCTTAATCTTTGTCGTGTTTGATATTATGATAGGAACACCACGGTTATTTTAGTTAGTATTTACCTGGTGTATTTTTCTACTCTACCTTTACTCTCATTGACTTGCCTCTTTTGTAAACAACGTATCATTCAATTAAAATACAAAGTTCAACGTAGACATCACTTACTATGCTTTAACGGTGAATTTAGGATTCCGGATACCTTGTTTTGTGCTATATATAATTTTTCTATGTGTCATTTACACATGTCTGTGTTTGTTAGACTCTTTTTTCTCCCTTCTACTGGCTTGAAAGTTGTCTATTCTGCTAAATAATCATGATTAAGTTAAAAGCTACTAGAGAAAGGAGGACCAGCCATTCCTGAATCTTGTGTAGTAGACTCAAAAAGAACGCCTGTTTTCTTCTCTTTCCTTTTTGTTTCTAAGTGAAATAACCCAGGCATAGAAAGAAAAATACTGTGTAATCTCACTTAGATGTGGAATCTAAGAACATCTTCTCAGAAATAGAGATTAGAATCAGAATGGTAGTTGCCAGGGGCTGGGGAGAGGGGAAATGGGGAATAATTGTCAAAGTTTACAAACTTCCAGTTCGAAGATGCATCAGCCCTGGGATCTAATGTACAGCATGGTTACTTTAGCTAGTAATACTGTTATTATATACTTGAAATTTGCTAAGGTAAGAGTAGATCTTTTTATTTATTTTATTTTACCTATTTATTTATTTTATAGAGATGAGGTCTTGCTATGTTGCGCAGGCTAGTGTTGAACTCCTAGGCTCAGGCAATCCTGCCACCTCGGCCTCCCAAAATGCTGGGACTACAGGCATGAGTCACCTCTTCTGGCTGAGAGCAGATCTTAAATGCCCCCATCACACACAGAAAAATGTTTTCTATGTGAAGTGATGAATATGTTAATTAGTTTGATAATGGTAATCATTTCTCAATATATCACATTATATACCTTATATGTATAAAGATTTTGTTCATTATACCCTAATGAAACTAGACAAAATGTGTTAAAAAGTAGATGTGGAACTTAATCCAAATATAAATAAATGCATGAATGATATGGCAATGTAACAAAACAGAAAAAAAATTAAAACCTGAAGTCTGTCATTTCCTGGGAATGAGTGAAATTCTGAGACTGCTTAATCTTTAGTACTCCTTCCTTATTATTGTCCCATATTTTAGATTTACCTTGATTTTTTTTAACCTCTAAAGTTAGTCACTATTACTGTTACTTCTCTTTCCTATAGAGAATTGTTAGAGTTCTAATTCTGCTATTTGTAGATTCTCATTCAGAGTCATTTGCTTTTGACTCTCTTGGGTGAATTTCAGCCTGTGGACTCACACTTGACTTGGATCTGAGAGTGAAACTCCGGGGCATGGTGGAGGATGCCCTCCCTCTGTTGAGCTTCTTCCTTTCTTGCTGCCAGGCGTCCACAGGCACTAGCCCTGCCTCTTTTTTTCATTTCTGCAATCTGGGATTCCCAGGACACATAAGCAGGCTGAAAGGAATCCCAAACCAGAATAAAGGCAGGTTTGTGGTTAGAAATTTAAGAACATCCTTTCATGTTCCCCGCGCAGTGCAGGCAAAGACAGATATTATATTTCCCTTGCTATTTCCTTTTGCTGGTGGGCTGATTTTTAAGTTTGAACTCAGCCTTTATGAGGATCATGCATTTGAAATGCTCGGGACACACACGGAGGAAACTCAGCTCCAACTCCTTATCTTCAGGACCCTGGAGCTTCAAACAGCCATCGCCACCCAGTTAGCCTGGGGCTGAAAGAGTAAAACGTGCCCAACCAGGACCCTCAGCCTCCAGCCTCAAGTTATCACTCAGGTCCCAAAATCCACTTCCCTTTTGGCCCTGAGGTTTTTCTTTACTTCCTTGCAAACTCAGCTATGGAGAGGAAGGAAGTATGTTCCACCAGATACCCAGAGACAATGAGAATTTTCTAAGCCTTGGCTTTAATCAAAACTGTCTTTTAAGCCAATAAAAACAGCATTTGCAACTCAAAACTGCCATCACAGAAGTCATCATTTAAATTAATGATGAACCATAAGAACATTAGTTCAGCCAAGGAAACTGAGTCTCCAAGTAGAATCACATTTTATACGCCTTTAGCTCAGTCACTAATTCTGTCTTGGCCAAATAGTCTAATGAATGTTAGAACAGAATTGTATTCTCTATGAGAACACTTTTAATGAGATATATTAATTTTCATTTAAAAGCAGTATTATTTCTTGTGGGTGATATCACTTATTTTTTCAAAAATGTATTACGTAAAAGCAATGTTCTGACTAGCTGTGTATTCTAGTGCCGTGTATTCTAGTATTCGAGGGCTAAAGGCTAGGCTGTTGGGTAATGATCTAAAAAAATCTGTAAGCTGAAAGGTTAGATTTCTTAAACAAAAATGTACGGTACAGATTTACTCCTCCCACCAAAAGGGGCCTCTGTGACTTCTTTCCCCTGGAGTTATGGTGAACAAACTGCAACAGAATAAAAATAAAAAACCTGCTTTGACCACATTTCTATTACATTCAGGTAAACAAAAACATCGTATGGGACTGCTTTTAGATTTGTGACATAGTTGTTCCTTCCAAACTAGTCCAAATCCTGAAGCTCTGTCTGTGGCAGTTAATTTACTTCTCTGGCACTTGATATTAGCTACTTTGATGTCTTTCTTGGAAAGTCATAATCAACAATCATGAGTCAATTTTCACTGACCTTCAACAATCCAGGAAATTGTCAAATAGGAAACCATATCATCTTAGCAATAACTCTATGACCAATATAATTTTGAATTATTTATATCACCTTAATTTAAGGAAGCATCTTACTGGCAACAATAATAAAATGCTGGATTTTTATGTATGTGTTCTAGCTGAAATAATAAAAATGAAAATCTTTACTCCAATTGTGACTGGCTCACCTAAATTATACATATTTTCTAAACCAATTTTTGATAGCACTCAAAAACATTAACTTATTTGTGTTTTGACCAGAATGCTCAGAACAATTATAGACACAATAGTCCTGCAGTTTTCTAAATACAGTGTTTTTCTATCTATATAATGCAATTTGTCATAGCAGAAGAATCATAGCCTCAGGAGACAACATGTCTTAGAAGTAAATCAGATCGTTCTTATTGACTAGCTCCATGAACTTGGGCAAGTTTGTTAACTACCTGAGCCTCATCTATAAAATGAGGATGATAACATCAAACTATCAAGAATAAATGGAGTGACATTTGTAGGTAAAGAATACAACACCTACTACTCAGCTCTTGGGCACTATGCAGAAGCTGTTATGTGGTGATGATGATGATTACCAACGTGACTACAATTAATTATTAGAATTTCCTCGTCTTAGGAATAATTTTAAGAATAGACTCAAACATTGCTATAGTAACACATTATTGTACGTAGAATTTCAAAAAGCATGACATTCAATTTTCAGGAAAAATACTCATTCAGAATAAGAGCTCCTGTCTTTCCACTTTTTAGAAGATAATACAAGAAACATCCACAGAGGTTGCACATGTATCTAAGGATCTAGTTTAATAAAACAAATTACTGGTACACAAATTTGCAGATCACAATTCTCTCATCGTTCTAGTTTACAAGCTAATGTGTACCCCCCCTGAAGCTGAGAAGCTCCGTTACTTAAAGCCCTGTTTTTAAGGGTTAGCAAGCATTTTATTATGGAAGACTGGTTCCTCGGCGTTCTAGGGTAGATAGCAGTAAGGGTTTCTCACCTGCTGTCCCACCCAGGTACATGACAGCCATATTCACCGAGGTGGTCATCCCCAGAATAAGGGGAACAGGGCCTTAAAACAAACACTGATTAACTGCCCAGGGGTAGGGAACATCCTCAGTAACATCTAGAACGTTCTTTGGCCATTTTTGCGCCATAAACTTGGACAAGTTAATTCTTCTTGTTGTGCCTCATCAATAAACTAAGGATAATTTCAATCCTAGATGAGTAAATTAAGTGCCCTAGGTAGGACGATGAACAGAGAAAACATGTAGGAATTGGGTTTAAGTCCCATTTCTAAACTTCTACTTGAATCAAATATTTCGAACAGGATAAAATATGCAGCTGAATTAGCAACAATTAAGAAGCACTTATCAATATGTCAAGTATATAAATTTAAGTTAATGTTGCTGAGGTCAGATTTGCCTTGATACAAAGGCTGCTCCTTATATAGAATCATCATATTCAGAGCTCTTCAAATTAAGTTGAAAAACTGTCCTCTAACTTAATTTGACCTCGACTATTATTAGTAAAAATAAATAGTGGAACCTGTTTCAAAAGTAGCAAAGTGTAACAGTATTTAAAAATTATTTAGTTACAAATTGTATTCATATATTTTATGCTATATTTTATGGAATAGCAAACAAGGATAATTACTAAAAATAGTGAGATTAAAAACATATACGTTAGGGAAAAATTCTATCAGCATTTTGGTGAATGATCTGTCTCTGCACAGTATCATTTGACATGTTACAATTAGTAAACAGTTAATGCACCATATTCAGAGTTCTTCAAAGCCAGTTGAAAAAGTGTCCTCTAACTTAATTTGACCTCGACTGTTATTGGTAAAAATAAATATTGGAACCTGTTTCAAAAATAGCAAAATTTAATAGTACAATTTAAAAATTATTTATTTACAAATTCTATTCATATACTCCTATGTTTTATGCTATATTTTATGGAATACAAAACAAGGATAATTATTAAAAATAATGAGATTAAAAACAAATATATTAGGGAAAAATTCTGTCAGCATTTTGATAAATGATCTGGCTCTGAACAGTATTATTTGACATGTTACGATTAGGAAACAGTTAATGCAACATAAAATGTTTGAAAACTTTAAATAGAGCAAGTCAGTGCTCAAGTTTCCCTAATGTGATGTTGACTTTTATAAACTCTCACCATTTACCTATCAACTTGGTTACCCTAAAAGCCAGCTATTTCTATAGGTCCATGGTGTCCCCACAGATAAAGATTCCCACACAAATCCAAAATAAAATGTGAAGAAATAGATTTCCCCCCATTGCCCAGGAGACGGGGAACCATGGCCCCCACTGTATTCCATGCCTACTTTGTGTGCGTTTGGGCTGTGTAAGTCATCCCAAACCGGCCCACCGCACTCAGGCTCGCCCGGCATATTAGCTGATACTGATCACCTGCCCACCGCACATAGACTCACCAGGCATATTAGCTGATATTGATCATTTGGAACTGACTTAAAACCACCTTTTTACTTCAGCTACTCATCTACCACCAAAAACCCAGTGTTATTCACCAAGTTGGAGGTTTTTTACGTTATTTTTTCTAAGTGGAATGGTAACACATTTCCATACAACTCATTTAAAAATTTAATACCAAAGAAAATTTTATAAATTTTTGTTTTCTATGTAAGAGAAACTGTCCAGGTCTTAGAAACAGTTGATTTTGGAGAAAAACAAACACAACTTTTTAATATTTTCAAGAATATATTTGAAAATATTAATATAGTTCATTTTATGTGTAATAATGTGATTTCATTATAATATGTTAGGTTATATTGATGATTGGTTAGATAGAAGCCAAGGATAAAATTTATAACTCTGTCAAAGTATTCACTAAATTTTAAAAAGTAGAACAATTTCATACTCATGCCTCATATCCTTCCTTCAGAAAAACAATTTTAAACAAGTACACCATACAGGTATGTCCCCACTAATGGCGTAAAGTGACCTGTCCTGCAGTTGAACATTTTTATTTGTCATCTATGAACATTGATATAACTTGAAAAATACATTATCAAAGAATTATACTTAGTTTTATACATTATACAAAAATTCTAATTTTTTGTCTAATAAAAATTTGATGATCTATAAATCCTCAAAATAGTAGCACAGAGAATCTAGATGAAAACTTAAATAGTGGATTGTGATGACTTTTCATTTACTGCAAAAATAAAAATATGATTCAATATTTGAAAACATATTAATTCAACGTGTTAAGATGGAAGAAGAAACAAACTGATTAATAAAAACCAAATGACATTTAGTAAAATATCTATTATTGAATAAAATTAACAATTTTGGAACTTAAGAAGATAAAAATCACTTTTGTGATTTTTACAAAACAAAAGCATAAAACCTAGTAATGTAACAGAAACCATTCCTGTTAAAGAGACAAGAATAGAGTGTCTGTTTACTTCAATGTTATTTTTTTTTGAAAGTGCTTTCTAATGCAATTAGTTGGGAGAATTAAATAAGTATAATTATTTGAAACAGTGAAGATAATATTCATTAATTCCAAAAAATGCACAACAAAAGAATCCATTAACAACAGTTATTAAAGAAAAGTGAGTTCAATGAAGTTGCTACTTAGAAAATATATCATGTTTTAATATGTATTAGCTATAACCATTTAGAAAATATAATTTAAAAATTATAAAATAGCAATTAGGATGAAAAAGTAACAATAAGAGTTTAAAAGGGAGTCTTAGGATTAACTATGAACTCTGAAAGATCTATGTGAAGAAAATGATAAGCTTCTACAGCAGAGTAAAAATAGTTTAAATAATATATAATGAATATAAATGAATATTAATATTAAAGTCTTCATATCTAAACGCAGTAAGTATTGATCCCAGCTACACTGCAACTCCAATTGTAATAGAAATAGCAATGGTCACTGACACAATAAGTGACACATTCTTGGTTGGTAGAAAAAAATGGACATTTATATTAAATATTAATAATTAAATACATATCTTTGCATACTTCGTGTTTAGGCTTTGGCTTCACTCCCTCCTTAGTGTCTTACATGACTTTACATCCTCACCAAAGTTCTGAAGATATTCCAAATTGTAAGGTGCCACTCTTAGCATCAGAATGCATATTTTATATTGAACAATGGTATGAAAAGGTACATTGCAGGTGTGCAAAATATAAAGTGTATATAATTTAGCTTGAATTATTGTCATAGCCATATACTTGTGATTAAATTTTTTTTAAACACTGTAATGACTGAAATAAAATAGGACTCACTTATTCATGCCTCATATATATTCAAACTACATTTTTGGATCTATTTTCTAGAGTCAGTACAAGTGAGATGGTGGAGGGGAGCAGATAGGAATAAGACATATATACGAGGTCATTCTTGAAAAGTGTGTTCACAATTTCAAAATCCTCGCAATCCACAAATTGAAACATTGTTACAAAAAACCTAATCCAAGAATATTGACACTGTTAAACATATGTCCAAATCCAAAATGTATTTTCACAACAACTTAATTTGGACTCTGTATCAACTCACCATAAAGGATTATCATCCTGTTTAAAGAAAATAATTGTAAGGTGAGCAAAAGATGGCATTCAAATACTAATTGAGTTTCTATATTTGAACAAAATGATGACTACAGCTACATATAAAACCATTATGACCTGAATATTAATTAGATTCTTTTTGACTAATGTTTTCCTCTTGGATCAATACACTTAGTTAATTCTCTCAAGAGGAAGTAATTATTGTAGCAGTGACCAATTGTTGTTTATAGCTCACAGCAAGTCTGAGGTACTGAAAGGTAGTATCGCTGCTTACGTTTCTAAGTATTTTGTAGTATTTAGAGAAACAAGTAGTAGTCAAAATGATTTTTTAAATTTTATTTCACTTACTTGAAAGATTAGAGATGAATATCCTCATTTCCAAAGACTTATTTTTGCAAGAGTAGCTATGGGATTACAGTCAAGTTCACAGAAAACCTAAAAATCTCTGTAAATTCCAAGTACATACAAAATAAGGAAGATATATGTGTATCTCAATTTTTTTTGAAGTAACATAACCAAATACCCCCACTTAATTCTATTAAATTGCTAAAAAAAAAACCCACAAATATCTGAATAACATCGACATCACAAAGGACATTATAAAATGGTTAATAGCCCCCAAGTAATCTTAATATGGGAGAGATTTTCATAAAACAAATCCCTTTCCACATAGAATGTTTATTCATAATGCATCATATACTCATCAAGATGCTTGCTATTTGGAGAATTACAATTACTTTCTCATTCTGCTGTATCCTTTTATTTTTTCAATATATGAAACATTTTCTTAATTTCCTGATTGCAAAGTAAAATACACAATGAGGTGCATTTTCCAAGGTATCATCTTCGTCTTTTTGTTGTTTTTGTTTTTGAGACGGAGTCTCACTTTGTCGCCCAGGCTGGAGTGCAGTGGTGTGATCTTGGCTCACTGAAATCTCTGTCTCCTGGGTTTAAACCATGGTCCTGCCTCAGCCCTCCTAGTAGCTGGGACTACAGACCCGAGCCACCACACCCGGCTAATTTTTGTATATTTAGCAGAGATGAGGTTTCACCATGTTGCCCAGGCTGGTCTTGAACCTCCAACTCTTGATCTCAGGTGATCCACCCGCACTGGCCTCCCCCAAAGTGCTGGGATTACAGGTGTGAGCCACTGTGCCTGGCTCCATTTTCATCTTCATTGTGCTTTGAACCACACTCCTAAGGCTGTGTAGCTTTTGATATTGAGAATTTTCTCTCTGAAGTTTAATCAAGTATTTTTATCAGAGCTCATGTATTCTTTGACTTTTTTGAATATGGGAAGCATGTTTTTATCTAACTAAAAGCCCTCAATATATCGCATTCATCTGGTAGCTTTTTTCCTTTTTCTCCAATCTTTTGAAAGCATCCTTCACATACAGTTTAACCTCATTTTTTATACGTATATTGTAAATATCACACATGACTTTATCAGGTTGCCTGATCCAAAATAAAATTTTTTGTTTCTTTGCAGTTTATCAATTAACCAGCATCTGTTGAATTCTTAATATTTACATTCTACTTAAAACACTGCAAAATTACATCTTCATAAAAAAGCATGAAAATTATATACAGGTGATACCCAATGAAGTCTCAGAATTACAAGTAGTGCCAATCTATCCTTCCCCTACAAAATGTCTTGAAGTTATTGCATCATTACTGGAGTTTATATTACAGAATTCCATTACAGATGGAGGAAGAAGGGCGTTCAAGCCAACAGTTGGGGGAAACCACGACCTCTCTGAGGCACAGCAAAATGTTGACCTGAGCTTGGGGCCATATATAAGATGAGCTTCAACTCTGCAGTGTATTGTTGTTTTATGATTAATGATGAAATATTGAAAAGCTTCTGAGGAGAGAAACATGATCAGATCAATATTTCAGCAATCTCTTTCTGAGACTTTGGTTGTGATAGGGAGGCTGGAATGTGGACGAGAGACTTGAAGGAGGCAAGCGGTTAGAAAGGAGTTGACATAGCCGCGTGTTTCCTACGGTGCAAATCACACCAGGCATTTCTTTCTCATGTCTCTTACAAATAGTTCTCATTTTTAATTAATTCACTACAGTTACCTTCTTCCCAGTCTTTATACTGGTTTTATGCTTTATTAACAAACCACGATTCACACTCTGTTTCCACTTCATCTCCTGTTCTCCTTCGTCTCCATCCATGATCTCCCTCGGCCACACTTGCCTTGGCTCTTCTACTTTCTGAAACCATCTATTTTCAAAGATCACAGAGAAGCCGCAGAGCTTTTCTTCTCCCCATGTGGCATATCTCCAGGCTTTTCTGAGTCTCCTCTCTTCTGATATCCAGCTGTGACTAGTACAGCTTGAACCCCATTATGTTTGATGACTACACATTTTATAGCCCGACTTCCTGTTCAACCTGATTTTGACTCTGATAGAATTAAACCTGCCCCTCAAATGAAGATCGCGTGTCTGCCAATGTAGCTCCTTTCTTCTACTAAAACCGTCTGATCCTTATTTTCATTTGTAATGTGAAAATAGAAATATTGTGTTTGAGGACAGTGCTACTCATCACCTGCACGGCACCCCCCAGGGGGCTGTGGCTTCCTTCCTCCTAGAAAGTTCCCTGCCGCCCACCACACTCCGTGACTTCCCCACTTACTCACTGATGCTTGAAATCCCCCTCTGAGGACCTCATTCCTTCAACAAACAACTCAAGGTGCTGATCGCTGTGAAAAATGAGACACCCCTAGAGAGAGAGGGAGCACTTTAAACTGTCACCGCGTTCACTCTTTACTGAGATTGCATTTTAAATTGTTATGAGAGCAGGTCCTAGTGGGAAGAGAGTTAAAGAAAGATTTCCTAGAAGAGCTGGTGCAGAAAGTTCAGAATGTTGAAGCTTTCAAAGTCCACTCCTTTTATTATTTCCTCATTCTGCCTGGAGCTTACTCTGAATTATTGTCACTACAGATATCATTTGCATTACATATGTTTTCATTTATGGATAGATGTAAACATATATATACTTGCAATGCGATATACACGAATCAGGGCGTAGTGGACACTCAGGACCATGAAGCTGTAGGGGTTGGTGCCCTAACAGCAGGCAACCATCAACCCACAGAGGTTGGTGAAATCGTTCATTAGTAAGAAACACTGGCAGTGCTTGGAAAATGTCAAAATAAATAAATAAAAGTTTAAAAAATACGTAGCTTTGCCTGATGCCCTGTTTGAAATGTTGTAGGAGACTCTCCTCATTAACTGAAGAAAAACTCACTGCAATGCAATACATTTTTCATAGAGAAAAAACTGCATCAAAATCAGGAGATCTAAAATGAACACCACCAACAAAATACCACCATTACAATTACATTTCAAAAGAGAGAAAAAAAAAAGGCAAAGAAAATCTCAGGTGCCTGAGAATTAGCTCTTTTGCAGCAGCTTTAAAGAAAGGAAAAGAAAAGAAATGGTAAAATACATCCACTTTAAGGTATACATCACTATATGTATATTAATCCTAACTCACTACTAAATCCCAGGCCTGTATATGATTAATATACTTATACATATAAAACAAAAATGGATGCAGCTTCCACATTATGAATTACTCCTCCAGCTGCAAGCTTACATGTGATTACTTGGTCCTGGCAGCGCTATTTGAAAGGCACAGTGCATTCCACGATGCATACAGTCCTCCCTTGGTGTCCACAGGGGATTGGTTCGAGGATCCCCATACATAGCAAAATACCTGCCCTACAGATCTCATGTATGGGCAAAGTCAGCCCTCCCTATATAGATGGATTTCACATCCCCGTGAATACTCTATTTTCCATCCATGTTTGGTTGAAAAAAATTGCATGTAAGTAGACCTGTGTAGTTCAAACCTGCACTGTTCAACTATCAACTGTACACCCACACCTGTCAGGGGTGTGTGTGTGTGGCTGGACACATGGAGTCTTACTAGATTAATCTCAGCATGCTGGTACAGCTAGTTTTCCTGTATGACCTTAATAGGTATAGTACTTTATGGCTTAGTACTATAGTACTTTATGCCCTTAATAGGTTCTTCGAATCTGGGACTTTAAGAAAACTTATAAATAGAAAAACATTTTTTTCCTTGCCAATGTCATAACAAAACTACATTGAACAAAAGCATGTTATTCCACTAATTGCTGTACATCCTTTCACCTGAAGTCTCAGTTTCCAAGACCTATAGACAATGAGGATTACATATATCATACTACATAGGAAAAACTATCTAAAACCAGGATTCTATGAGTATATAGGCACAGATAACTATACACGATCACAGTATTTCAAAAAATACATAGAAACCACATGCATAACAAGTGATTTGCTTCAAACTTGTAATACCAGTTATTTACTTGCAGTATACCTTTTTTGAAGGCAGGGCTTTTATGTGCCTGTTTTTGTTGAATTAGGTGAGAAATAATTGCATTCTTCCTAACACTCCAAACCGACTGTAGATGAACATAAAATATATTTGGAAGACTGTACATTTTCATTCTGTAATTCTTGACTGTACATTTTTCATTCTGTAATTCTTGAATGAACTCTCAGTAAAGGAGGTTAGTATGAGATGACCTTTACTCTAACTCACCACTATATACCTTTGCTTGTATCAGTCTTGATGAATAAGTCTCGACACACAGATAAAACGATAGATAAAATTTGTTAAGTTGTAGCTTTAGCTTCTCATAGAAATCAAATAAGAAGTATTTTGTAAGAAAGGAAATTAGTTCACAATATTTTTAATTACAAAGGAAGGAAAACCACATGCTTAAAACAGCTATTGCGTCATGTACCTGACATTTCTAACTATTATCATTTAAAAATGGGGATCATTATGTTGCCATCATTTGATTTTTGAGGAAGAAGTATAAAAAATATAAACAAATGAAAGCCAAAGAGCCAAATGATAGAGGGAAAATTACCATTTACTCTTACCTTTATCTTTTAAAAGAGATTTGGATAACTCATTTGTAAGAAGAATATACACTTGAATGACAGTCTTTCTCATAAAATATAACTTATAAAAAGGCAATGAGCATATTTGTATTAGTTCACAAATGAATGTGAGTATATGTATATAATTTTTCCAGTTTTATGTCAAAAGTCATGAAAGTGCTATTCCATTCATATTTACGGGTAATTCGAGAAATGGATGGGTTTCTGGATTTCATATCAGATAACCGGTGCAACCCTGCTCAGGTCAATTATACTTTTTTATCTTCAACTCTGGGGTTTCAGAAGCAAATTATAATAAATGCCTAATAAACTTATTTTGAGAGTTAAGTAGCAAATAAGAATAGAGGACATTCTATTAACTTCAATTTTCAGTTAAGCAATGAATATATTTTAATATAAATATTTATCATTTGTCGTTCATTTGAAATTCAAATTAAATGAGGTTTTCTGTATTTTATCTAGAAACTCTAATAGAGAGCAGTAATCTGTAGCAAATAGTTTATAACCTGGATATGGTATTCGAATATTCAGTTAAAAGGATTTGTAGCTAGACCATCTGGGTCAAAACACTGACAGCTCAGCAAGATGATTTAGCCTCTGTAAGCTTCTGTCTGCGTGTATGTCTGGTGAAACCTGTACTGGTCACTTCTCCAAATGGTTGTGAAGGTGAAATGATATAACATACTTGCTGTGCTTAACATGGTGTTAAGTGTTCAGTAAGTGTTGACTCTCACCATTATCACTGGATTACTTTTCTATGGAGGCTGTTGAAGTGTCCTGGGAGTATTCAGAACGACATTTGTATTGCTATCAGTGATAACCGCATGCATTTTTTCAGCATATTCTATGTCACTTAAAATAAATGCAGAGTTGAAGTAAGAAACTGTGACTTTATTGTAATATATAACTCATTTACTATATGGAACATATTAAATAACCCCTCCTCCATTATCTTAGAAGTGACTCTAATACTCACTAATGTATTTTTTTGCAAAGTTAAATTAGACATCAAAGCAGAACCAGAGAAGAAAATAGTTTATAAAGTCCAGGCCTCTGAAATAATCAGCATTTTATTAACACTATACTTCTTCTAGCTGCTACTATCAGGCTTATAACGTGAAGTATCACCCAACTGGCATACGTGGGGAGGAAAAACACATGACTTTTTTTACGTTTCACTTTTCTAAACTATGAGCACAAAATTAAGATTTTAAACACTATCAACGTGCTCAAAATGTCTCTGGTGCCCAAGAGTTGCAAACGCATTATTGATTAATCGTCAGCACAGTCGTAATGGCATTAATTGAAACATCCAAGCAAATAACTGTTTCTTTAATATTTGTTTAGTCCACAAATTATAGTAAGAGGTCTGTGTTTATAGGGAAGGCCTTCTGTTCTTTAAATTATATCTATTCTATTAATAGATTAATCTATGAAATTTCTATTAAATATCGAACAAAAATCTATAGGTCTCCATTAAATTTACTTAAAATAAAATTAAATGTTTCTTAGAAGTGCATCAGGTGCAAAGTCAACATAATACATAGCATTTCTTGTGTCTAAACTGCCTTGTGATCAGGAGATACGGGATTATTAGAATTTTTTATCACTTGGAAAAATATTGCCACCCTCAACAAAATTTATGACTGCTTTGCTTTGAAAACTATTGTACTGCTTTTATTTTTTCCCAGACTCAAGTACCCAAAAGGTTTGCTCACAGATATTCCAGAAGGAAATGTTGTGTCTTGGCCACATTCATATTTTCTTGAGAGCCATCAACAAACATGCTTGTAGCTGAGCAGAGTGTGTGGTATAGAATGACAGGTATAAATAGTTAATACATTTTTCCATTGGTATCCCTTAAACTACTTGCTCCAAGAAATTCTTCTAACAATGAGATTAGTGATATAAGAAAAACAAATGAAAGCCCTTGGCCTTATAAAGATAACCAATGATAGTCAATAAAAGAGTAGCTTTTACGGCATAGTTACATTTTCTGGGGTTTTTTCTTTCTAGTTTTTAAGATAAATTATTGTCTAGTTTGTTTTTATTGATTTTTTTACAAATAAATATGGGCGAAATGAAAGCAATATGACTTCTCTTTTATGTTTTATTAAGAACAGAAACTGTAAGGTCAGAAGGTATAAAGCTTCTGTGTTGTGTATTTGTTGGAAGAAACTCAGTGCCAAGATTAAAGGAATCATCTTTAATGTTTTAAAGGAAAGGACAAAGGAGAATAAATACATTGATTTGTGTGCATGATACTATGGCCTTTATTTAAAATTTTACGTGTAGATCACAGATCTCGTAGAGGGAGTGATAGGAAAACAAACAACTGTGCTGCTTTTGTAACTGTTACACATTGGTGAACTTCCAAAACTTCTGAGTGTTCCTAAAATTGGCATAGATAAAAGGTAATATTGTAATTTTTAACCTCAGCATACAAAAATTCATGTGCACATCTTCCTAAAAATGCAAATAATGCAAAAATTGTATACGTTTTGCAAAGCTTGTTTTAGTGATAATACTCAGTGTGATTCCATTCACAATGAGTATAACTTTACACACACCTGTGCAAAACACTTTAGTCACAGAATAAAAACTCTAAAATGCTATAACTTTGGCATGACTAATGATCTATACTAATGAAAGTGATATTGTTATATTTTATATGTTATTCCACAAGGCATGAATTATAATTGGATGAACAATAAATTAACTTGCACAAAAACAGGATTGTTTAAATGATACTTTGTGTAAAAAGGAAACCATGAATAGTTAAAAAGTCAGGAAACAGCAGATGCTGGAGAGACTGTGGAGAAATAGGAATGCTTTTACAATGTTGGTGGGAGTGTAAATTAGTTCAACCGTTGTGGAAGACAGTGTGACGATTCCTTAAGGATCTAGAACTTGAAATACCATTTGACCCAGCAATCCCATTAGTGGGTATATACCCAAAGGGTTATAAATCATTATGCTATAAAGACACATGCACACATATGCTTATTGCAGCACTGTTCACAATAGCAAAGACCTGGAACTAACGCAAATGCCCATCAACGATAGACTGAATTTTAAAAAAAATGTGGCACATATACACCACGGAATACTATGCAGCCATAAAAAAGGATCAGTTAATGTCCTTTGCAGGGACATGGATGAAACTAGAAACCGTCATTGTCAGCAAACTATCACAAGAACAGAAAACTAAACACCACATGTTTTCACTCATAAGTGGGAGTTGAACAATGAGGACTCATGGACGCTTGGAGGGGAACATCACACACCAGGGCCTGTCAGGAGAAATACCTAATACAGATGACGGGTTAGTGGGTGCAGCAAACCACCATGGCACATGTTTAACTACGTAACAAACCTGCACGTTCTGCACATGTACCCCAGAACTTTAAGTATAATAAAAATAAATTTAATAAAAAAAGTGATACACATAATTTTAAGTGAAGTAGTGATTCAAAGTCTTATTTTCCTTCTGGTCATTGATTCAGGAAACGAAGTCTTTAGTTCCAGTGGGATCCCAATTTTAATAAATAAAAGGAAATGTATATGTGTTTTGATGTTTCTGTGTAGAAGGAAAACCCTCAGGGGAAAGAAAAATAGAACAGTGGTTTTCCCTGAGAACTAAATCTCTTTTCAGAAATACAATAAATGTTCAATTTCCTTAATCAGAAAATAAGTTAAAAACATTTAAATACATAGTTAAAATATGTAATAGAGTACTGGAATTCATTTCAAAGTAGCCTGTGTATGTTTTCGTATACCAACAAATGAAAACAAACTACATATTTTAAAAAGATAAACTCCAGGTTAAGTTTAAATTCAGAGAAAGGTCAAAAAAATTACCAGGATGCCATCAGACTATCCATTTTACAATGTTGTGTGTTTTATAAAATTGCATGTAACTTTTCTGCCAATTAAAAATAGTTCCTTCATAAACCCTTACTATATAGAGCCATAGTTTAATCCAACACTATACATACATATTTATATGTCATCTACAGATAACATATATATATATATATATACACACAGACACATACATACTGCTGTTAATCTTTAAGAATTTCTTATGAAGTTGGGTTGTATTCTGAATAAATAAGCTTAAAAATCCACTGAAGGGAACGGGACTGACTTCCCTTGGATTTCTGACCTTTCACTCCTCTTTCGTGCCTCATCTCTGAATCTGAAGGTGTCTGGCTTGACCCAGCCCCCATTTCCCCATCAACTAATAGCTGTCCGTCAGCTTTCAGTCAACCTCCTCACCACATACTTAAATGTACCGTCTTAAAAAAGCATATTCTCATTGTTTCCTGGTGCCATGTTTTTCTTTTATATCTAGAGAGTTTTCTTGAAATTATAGACATGGATAGAGCTGCATGTCTATACTCATGAAAACAGCAAGTTCACTATGAGGTGTCTCATACTTCCCTTTCTCACAAGGATATGCAGAAACAACCTGTTTGTATCATGTACTGATTTAAACACAAGCGACAGAATTTAAGAAACTCCTTAAAGTGTTAACATAATTAGACCTTACCCATTCCCTAAATGTATTTTTATTTTTGTTTTTTCTGAGACGGAGTCTCACTCTGTTGCCCAGGCTGGAGTGCAGTCGTATAATCTCGGTTCACTGCAAGGTCTGCCTCCCTGGTTCACACCATTCTCCTGCCTCAGCCTCCCGAGTAGATGGGACTACAGGCGCCCACCACCATCCCCGGCTAATTTTTTTGTATTTTTAGTGGAGACAGGATTTCACCATGCTGGCCAGGCTGGTCTTGAACTCCTAACCTCGTGATTCGCCGCCTTGCCCTCCCAAAGTGCTGGGATTACAAGCATGAGCCACGGCGCCCAACCCCCTTTCCCTAACTTTAAATACAATAATTAAAATGCTACATTTATAAAATCCTTTATGGTTCTCTTTCTCCTTATGCTCATATAACTTCCACCAAAGAGAAGAATCTATTCTTGAATTTCAGACTACATTCACAATTTATATATAATTCCAGTGCTCAATAGAGCCAAGCTTGGTAAGTGTTCAGTGAAGTATAGTGATTAAAATTCAGTTTAATTTTCAATGGATGGAGTGTAAAGTTCAAGGAGGTTAAAAACACAGCGGTAGTGCTGGTAATCTACAAAATGGCTAATATGTGACTTAAAATTCATAAGGAAACTGAAACTATAAAATTATCAGCTATACAGAATATGAATACATATTGAGCCACATGATACAATTACATCTGATGCTGCTATAGCTATATAAAATATAATTTTTTAACATGAAAGCAGCATTTTAATATTAGGTTGACACAAAAGTAATTGTGAGTTTTACCATTAAAGTAAGGTACTAAAATACTAAACATATAACAAAACGTTAGATAACATATGCCTATTTTTAGAAAATGATTAAATAAATTCATGAATGGAAACTCAAATTTTAGCTACGAATTCAACATAAAGTGTAGCTTTTTATTAACATACCGAACAGTCTATAGCCACTTAAATGGCTAACAAAACCAGCTTGTAACTTGCTGCCACTATCATCTCTGTTTGACTTGGTATAAGATCTGAACAAAGAGCCAAGTGTGATTATGTGGAATGCTTTCATTTGTGTTTATAAATTTGGCTCTTGGAGTATTTATAGGAAAAACACTTTAAATTACATTCTCAATTGCAGTATGTATGTAATAAAGGGAGACTGCTAGGATAACTTCTCTGAAAGTAACAAGCCTCATTTAAAAATACTTGCCCTTCCCTGTATTAACATTATGTCCATATATGAAATAAGATTGCTATATTGTTATAACTATTTACTGACAGTTGTTAAAGTTGAGCTATGGACACATTACTTTCCATAAACATCACTCTACTGTTTTTATGTTTGAACATTTTCCTAATTTTTTTTTAAAAAACACCAACCGTATTAGCAAACTTCTGAGCATCTCCGTTTAGACGTGCAAAGGAAATTATTCCCCATGCCAAGCTTCGTCTGTCTCTGTAAACGCAGTATACACACTAACACACACACACAATTAAGCAGTCGATGGCACAAGTGTGCAAGCCACATTTTGAAACACTTATATTTAGTGTAAAAAGCCAACTGCTTCAAACAAGTCATGAAGAAACACACAGTCACACACAAGACTAGACAGATACAGGTGGCAAACGGACATCTCAACAGAATGTCAAGTATCTTCCTGGATTCTGAATCACCATTAAATGTGAATTTTTGGCAGTATTGTCCTTGGATAAGATTCCAAGTCCCAGTAGCCCATTTAATAGCGTTTTTTCATGAGCAGGAATACTGACTTTATTACTCAATGTCAATACAGTGTGGTTAGTGCAACTTTAGCAATGTATCCTCTAATACACTGATTCTGCAGACACGGTTTTATTGCCCTAAACAAATAGACTCAATGAAAGGATAAATGCTTAACTTTGGATGTGGTAACTCATTCGAGTATCTTAACCCTGTTCAACTTATAATTAGCCAACTTTGAATGTGCATTTTCTTCTATTTGTCATTCATTGCAATTTTCAATGCAGCATTTCTAATGAAGAAAAAAAATAAAACTCTACGTAAGATATGGAGGAGGCCAGGAGTGTTGGATTATGTCTTTTTGATGATAAAAAGACTGAGTGCTTGCCTGCAGCAGCTCACTGTCAGTAAAAATGAATCTGAAGCAGATGCCAACTGCGTCAAAAGCTTGTGTTCTATACATTTTTTATTAAGCAAAGATACAAATCACAAGAAAAGTACATAGGGGCAAGAACATCAAAGGATACTGGTGTTTCAAACAGAAACACAGGGGCCTATCTGCTGCTTCCTTCCCAGCCTAGAACACAGTGAACTCATAGCTAGAACGCTGAGCGTTAACTAACGCGTTGAAAATAAATAACTCTGTTTTGTATGCTCTCTTCATTACACCGTACACTTCAAATGTAAATATTCTGAATTATTTAGAAGTACGCTTAAAAGAAGATTTTACCATGGCCTATTTCTTAAGCAAGCATAGGCCAATCAAAGGTTACTTTCTCTCTTTAGGCATATAGTTAGCTTTGTATATTGCAGTATTTGATATTAGCACGTTTTTATAATGTAGTATATAATAAGCTTTGAAAGAGAGTGGATATGTTACCACGTTCTGAAAAAATAATTTCTAATAAATAATAATTGAATAGACACGACATGTTTTCTTCAGTTGTCTAGAATCTGACAATTAAATTTTAGTACCGAAATGTGCGACCGGATACCAATCTGAGCACTTGCATACATCACTGTTTCAGTATATCCTCCACATTTCACAGAAAAATTAAAATATACAAGCAAATTGTTTACAGTGCCCACATTTGCATATCAACACTGTTAGAACTTGAGACTGCAGCTATGCTGGGAAAAATGGGTACTGTTTGAAGGTAAACCTATGTTGATAATAACTTTGTAAATAAATTTTAAGGCTTGTGTGAATCAGCTCACAAAATGCTAACCTTGTCTAGATGAGCACAGCTCTATAGCAATACCGTGTAAGCCATAAATATAATTGTACTTTCCTAGTACCCATATTTTTAAAAACATGTTACTATATATAAAATATTATTTGAACGTATGTTAAAATTTTCAAAAATGTATAAATTATAAGACTTTTATCTTCATTTCTTCTACTTCCTGTAAACATACAGCATTAGAAATACTTTTTTGGTAATTAGTTGTCATGGAAGTTGCAATTGCAAAAGTAGATATACATATCCACGTTTTTTCCAAACACACTTGAAAGTTTCCCAGTAATAGAATAAAGTAGTGGTTTTTAAATGTATTAAAATTAAGTGAGTTTTAAAATTCTGTTCCTTGGTCTCTCTGGCTTCATGTGTTCACCTTCCAAGGCAGAGGCTGCCCCAGAGGTGTACCAGGATGGTATGAGGCCTCTGCTGGCCCCTAGGTGGCACTCAGCCCTCGGGAGCACCTGACCCACTGATGGTTTTCAGGTCAAATGTAAATAAAATGGACCTGGAAATATAAAAGTGGAAAATACTTTGCTACCTTAAGTATGATCTCAGGGAATTAAAATAACCTCTCGACAGCATTATGGGAAAATAGAAGGTAGAGATATGAAAACCTGATAGTAACTGCGAGAACAGGTGGTCCCAGGCCCACAGAGTAAGATGACGGCATAAGGTCTTTGCATAAACCAGTGGTTTTTCACCAAAAAACAGCTTTAAATTATCATGTCTAAAGCTATGAAATTAACACTTCAGAAGGAAACAATTTGAGACTGGCACACTCCAACCTTCTGTTTCAAATTTCTGAAGTTTTACTGAAATATCTTATGCATTGAAGCTCACATTAAAGGTCCTTTAAAATGTTGTGACAAATGAGACTGTTCTTTTTCTGTTTTTTGAATCTAAGAAGTATGTATAGCCAAAAGTTAAAGCTTTTAACTTTTATGTTGGGCTTTCTTACTTGACATATAATTCTATATAGTAACATCTGTATGTGATAACATATACATACAAGTCATTTTTTGTATAAACATTAAACGGAATCAATGTAATGTCTCTACTTGTTTTCAAAATACATAAAGGAATAAAGTGATAACTGTATTAAAACTTAATCTTATTACATTGTAAAACACTGATTTTCTAGAGCTGCCTCATAAACACACCTAACATGCATTAAAAAAATGTTTTGCAAATGACAAGGCAAAGGCTTATAAAGGTTAAGTGACGTTTTGATGACATAGATGCTGGTGAATGTGCCTGTTAGGGCTTGATCAGGTTTACCAATTGCAAATGCATTCAACTATAGCAAGGTGAATTCATGTTCTCTTGAGATGTGATTAGCCTTTGTTATAAACACTTTCCCTGGGTTGTAGCACATTGTAGCATCCAAGGGAAAACATTCTTTTATTAATCCAAGAGTATTTTTAATTATGTAAACTTTAAAGTTATACAATATTGCTCAAATACGATTTCAAAATAACTTCTGAAGTCACGTTTTGATCAATAGTGATTTTTTGTGAAAATAAACAGAAACATAAAATCTTACAACTGCATGCAAAGGTGAATATAATCCATGTGAACCTGTCATTTTACAGATAGAACTGATGAAGCTCAGGAACACTGGAGCACGCCCAAGGGTCAAGATCATAACACAGATCTTCTGGCCACTGGACAAGAGGGCTCTCTTCTTCATTTTCTCGGACTCATTAGCACATCAACATCCCAAGGATGTCCTCTTCTCCAAGCAAGGTCCTATTGCCAGAGGACGGAATGGTGCCATTTTTGCTTATTTAATTTAGTATGACATCGTTATCTCCCTCTAAGCTTTGCGTTTGTAAAGCAACTAATGTGTAATGTGTTTTTCTATGCAGCACCATAAAATTATCTTAAATGAATTGATCTTAGAAGATTACAGTCAGGGAGAAAGGTAGTTAGTATATTGTATGCATTCACCTTTTCAGTTTTATTTATTTGAATACCAGTTAGGAACTGAGTTGGCTGTGACAGCATCCTAACAACTCATTTATAATCGGAACAATTTTAATTACTTGTAGCAATAGTATGTTTAAATGGTAGTATTTTGAGAGCTTTTTATAGTAATTACACTTCATAATGGAGTCGGGTATATATCAGATTCAACAAGCATCATTCAGAATCTGACAAACGTTCATTTTCTAAAGATCATAATTATATTTTACATTAATGGTTGAACTTACCACAGTTCATTGCTGTATAAACATTTTAATGTCAAATCTGACCCTACACTTTTCAGTCTCATATATTCTTACTATTTCTACTGCACATTAGTCATTCTGCCTGCATTGTATCCCTTTGATTATATTTTCATTTAAAAAAAATGCCTGATAGTTAGAAACAGACTGTTTTTAAGGTCAACATCCTGTTTTTTAGCAGACTTTAGAAATTACTACCAGTAATCATGGATAAAAACACTCAATTGTTGGTTTTGTGAAGGTACGTTGAGAGTCTTTTTTACAACATTTAAAAATTATATATGAATATGATTTTTCTAAATTTAAAGTATCCACTATCCTTTTGCAAACAGTTTAGATGAAGACTTTTAATGCACATTTTCCATCTGTGACATTTGATTTTGTTTATTGATTTGTAGCTTCAGTTCTCCTTCACTGCTGCCCTGTATAAATGCGAACATCTTTGCCATCTGAAAAGGGTATGTGTGCCATGAAGTGAATTAATTCTAAGAACACATTCTTTTCATCTGGGTACAGGATTTCCAAATGCAAATTATCTCTTGCATTTTTACTCCCACTTTGTACCAATATATTTTGCTTTTGTCCAATCATTTTATAGAACTAAGGACAATCATTTTATAGAACTCAAGTTATATATGTCGTATAGTTAAAAGTCTTCAACATGTAATTTAGGAAACCCAGGTCCTTGGGGACACGAAACTTTCCCAAGAAATGTGGGTAGAGATGGACAAAACCCAACAGACACACCTCAGTTTTCCACATTCACTTAGGTTTTTGAGAAGCACACACTTTTTATTCTTTTTAACTCCTCAAGGAATGCATGAGTGTTTTATCATATTAAAATTCTGGACATGAACCAAAAGGAGAATAAAAAAAAAAATCCGCTTTACCCACCTATAAAATCCTACTCTGCCCCAGAAGCATGGCTAACAGTTTCATGTGCTGACCTCCAGGTCTTTCTCCATGTCTTATACATACATTTTCATCCTAGAATGTTTGCAAATCTGGACACACCATTATTAACAATAAGTTTGGCCAGGGGTGGTGGCTCACACTTGTAATCGTAGCACTTTGGGAGGCCGAGGAAGGTGAATCACTTGAGGTCAGGAATTCGAAACCAGGCTGGCCATCATTGTGAAACCTGGTCTCTACTAAAAATACAAAAATTAGCTAGGCATGGTGGCTCACACCTGTAATCCTAGCATTTTGGGAGGCCGAGAAGGGTGGATCACCTGAGGTCAGGAGTTCCAGACTAGGCTGGCCAACATGGTGAAACCCTATCTCTACTAAAAATACAAAAATTAGCTGGGCGTGGTGGCACGTGCCTGTAATGTTAGCTGCTCGCGAGGCTGAGACACAAGAATTGCTTGAACCCAGGAGGCGGAGGTTGCCGTGAGCCGAGATCCTGCCAATGCACTCCAGCCTGGGGGACAAGAGAGAAACTACAACCCCCCCCACCCACCCTCCCCAAAAAGAGAAAGGTTGTTCTTCAGGAGAGACAAACACTGCGGGAGGGTACCTCCACTCCGTGTTCCCTCCCCGTCACCATGTGGCTTTCTGTTTCCACATGTTGCTTTTGCGCACCATGCCTTCCCATATGGTATAGGTTCTTGCGCGACACACTTGCATATGCCAGCCCCAACGTTTATTGGGCAGTCTAAGCAAAATATTTACATTCTCGTCAGGCAAAGATGGTAAAACTCACAGCAACTGTTCTCCAAGGGTGGACTCAGGACTCCTGGAGGATCCCCACAACACTCTTGACAGATATAAAACACTAAAATTTGGATTTCTACGACTCCCAGGAGGGTAACTCCATGTGTCAGATGATAGCCTTCTTCTAACCACTTGCCTGGCTCTTTCCAAAAACCACACATATTTTACAAACTTCAATATATGTGGCCGTGTTCAAAAACAAAACAAAACAAAGAAACAAAAACAAAAAAAAACTAGTTTAAAAAACACTTTTCTGTCTCCTCCTTTCCTGAATTCAGTTTCAGGATGCACCAGTTAATTACCTGTAAGACCTTGGGCAAAGTAACCTCACCTCACCTCGCCTCACCATGCCTCGGTTCCTTTATTTGTAAAATGGGGATAATAATGGTGTCCACACCATAAAACTGTTGTAAGCATAACACAATAGTCAGAATGATGCCTAGTGTGTAGGAAAGTTTTGCTATTATTATGAATGCTAATGAGAAAAGTCCTTTTAACTTACAGATATTTTGGTTGTCCACAAGTTTTACTCCATGAATTTTATGTTTTTGTATGTCAAGGAGTGTGTTAAAATTCAAACTGCTTGTATACAATCCGGTTTCATCATACAGCAGGCCGACTGTAGCCTTAAATGCCATTTCGTTCTTGCTTAAATAATCAAATTACTCTCTGAAGCCATGTGCAGTCCTTTACTTTATATTTCATTTAGAACTCCCATCTGAAACTGCAGCCTTTCTATTCTAGAGGGAAATGAATTTGTGGCCATGAATCTTGAACCACATTTCTCATAAGAAACACCTAGACAAGGGTATTAGTTCAGAATTATGAAATAATACAGAAAAAAAGTGGGCTTTTCCAAATATAAAGAGGATGAAGACAGATCTCTTGTTTTCGGATATCAGGGCTTTCTCTCCATGGATGAGGGCAGGTTTCGCTAATGCTGATTTTGGACCAGGCAGCTGGGAAATTTGATTTCCTGAGCATTGCCCTAAATGGAATAGCACAGATGGTTGGTCTTTGCTTTTCTTGAATGGCAGTGGTGTAGGAAGAATGGAGCTTTCCAGAACTAGTAAAACAGTCAGGGCCACAGGCTTCTCATCCTGTTAGGAACTTCAGAGGTCAAAATAGCTTTGTTAAGACATGCAGGCTCTGCTTCTTCTCCAGGTGTCCCTCTAATTTCACAGAAGATCATGTGTCCTTGGCTATTTTAATCAGGAACAAAATCTACTTGTGGTCTCTTCCAGCCTGGAAAGTAATCCAACTGAAGTATTTTAAATACCATCTGCACAAACCTTTTAAGTGGCTATGATATATCCGCAATGCTATAATTACACGTATGCAGTGAGTCACCTTTACCTCTGACAGCAAGCAGGTTTGTAAAAAGCTCTCTCTGCCTTGGCTTAGTGGAATTTGTAGTTACATCCCTAAGTCCGAAATACAGCTGGAGAAATACACATTATTCTTTATGTGACCGTTCACGTTAACGATATGCGCACATAACGTTTTTACGTTCTTTCTGGTACCATAAACAAAAGTCAAGAGGAGCTCCAGTTTTCTTTTCTCCCGACTGCAAACTCTGTAATTCCTTCTTGCCAAGCTCCATTGCGTCTCTCCGCCATGCTCTCCATGTCTCACTTGCTTCTACTTAGTGCTATCTGTCCTCAGGGGCCGTTGTTCTTGTCACTTTGGAACATTCTTTTATTTTTAAAAAACAACGTTTTTCCTTCTATGTTAGTTCAAAACTACAGTCCTTCACCAAGGGCTTCAGTTAACATGAGACAGAGAAAAATCATGGAGAGTATGTTTAGTCGGTTGCAATATGAATTACCCATTGTGCCTCTTCATTTTAATAAGACGGTTGTGGCACAGGAAGGAAGACACTCTTCTGAGATAATATGGTCTCATCATTAAGAACATGGGCATGATCACGAGGACACCCAAAACCAGCACCTGATAGCCTCATCTATTAGGTTTGGGAACACCACTTGACCTCGAAGAAAGGTTTATCCTCCAAGAAAGGGGATAGCAATCATACTGATTTTGTAGGGCCACAGTGGAAATCAAACAAGAGAATGTATGCAGCTCACACGGTAGACTCCCCAGCATCTGATGCTTGATAAATATTAGTTTTCTTTCCCATCGCCTGTTTGGCTGAGAATGTTTCCTAGAAAACCAAAAGTTGATCTTTCAGTTGCTGTTGCTGTTTGTTATTAGGAGATGTGCACTAATTACACTTGAGGCCACTTCATTCCATTGTGGCCAAGGAGTTGATTCAAATGAATCAGTTTTGTTATTGGATAGGAGTCAATAACAATTCCATAGAGGCAGCTGAAGGAGGCTGACATCCACGCCAAGTAAAGAAAAAGGGCTAAGTTTCACTTGAAAAATAAGAAACTTCATTTAGAGAATGATTGTACACTAAGGCTTAGTAACTTGAGAGAACAAAAAAGAGTTTCAATCTACTTCACACAAAACAAACAAGGGTTCTTCAACACCTAGTCTGTTAATGTGGAACTATGTGGACAGATTCTGTGTAATTTAGAACTAAACAGTTTAATTTTACTCACATAGCTAATTAGATATCTTGCCTCTATTTCCTGGCAAGTTCTAAAAGATTCCCCCTCACATTCCTTGAATATAATTAGTATTTTTGTGTAACTCTTTATTTTCAGATAAATCAAGCACATCTGGAGAAGTTACTTTAATGATACTTTTTAAGAAAGCACACAATCTAGAGGAACAATGTAATGGAACAACATCCCATGATTTCCACCAGAAGGTTTCTTTCTAACTACCCTTTCTTACGTCCAATATTGAGTAATATTAGAAATGACAAGCCCAGGAAACTTACTTTACATTCTAAGACTTAATATTTACACCACACATGTTGCAGCTTCCCATTATCGTTATAGATAACAAAGACGGGGGACTAATGTCTGCAAGCTTTTATTACCTTCCAGGGACCAGGTTAAGTACTTTACATAACCTTAATTAAATGCTGGCTGCAGTCTCGTCATAGGTGGTATTATTATTATTATTATTATTATTATTACTACTACTTTGTAAGTGTATGAAAGAGAGGGTTAGCAAGTTACACAACATCACACAAATAGCCACTGAAAGTGGACCCGGTCGGTTGAGCGAGTTGGACTCATACTATCTCTCCTCCAACCTCTCTGTGGCCCACTGAATGCATTTAGTGGGAGAAGTGCCTCCCCTGTTCCTAGGTGAAAACAAGGGCAGTCTCAGGACATCCCAGGTTGCTCTTAAGCCATCACATATCTATGGTCATGTTTAGTTGCAAAACTTTTCTCCAGATAGCAAATCCCAAGACAATATGATAATAAAATTAAGGTTTGATTTAAAGTTAAACTTCTGCCTTTTTTAGCTGCAACCATCAAAAGACAGAAAGCTAAAACAAGGAGGATATAAAACTTCTTTACTTTTACTGAGCCTTAGTTTTACTTATTTTGCTAGCCATGCTTTCTGTTCCTGCAGCATTAAAGTTTGACTGAGAAAAGAAAACACTAGAGAGTAGAACACTTTTCTTTTTTACTGGTACTGCAGTGGATGGATTCGTCCACTCAGGGCCTGGCAGTGCTGGGTGCCTTCATGAGTTTCTGACATGCCCCCACTGGGAACAGTAAGCTCCCTTTCCTAAGGTACTATTTTTGGGGCCACCCTGAAGGGCTCCCTTCACCCTTCAATTTTCTTAAGCAAACCTTAATGATTCCAGAGAGGCTATCTTACAAGAATGACCTACAAATATCTCAGGCTTGTTCACACAAACTCAGGAAATTCAATTCAATGCTGTAGCCATTTCTCCTGTACTGCTGACGATGAGGCTATGGGTAATCCCACTCTGCCTTTAGGTTTACCCAGTAGTAGCAGATACCACATCCTGTCCTTATGACTTGTCCTTCTAAGTGAATGGATGCAAGTTCAGCTCTACGCATGCAGCTGGAGTTCCTGCCACTGGGTTCAAGGTGAAGGATGTTGCCACCAACTCTGCCGCCCTCCCCAATAAAATTCCTTTTCAACATTTGTAACCTCGTTGTAGAGTCTTCTAGTGGATTTTTAAGCAAATCTATGATTCCAAGATCTCTCAGATGGTCAACCTCCCAACTCTAAGATCTGATACCTGTCAGGTCTACGTAGCAGCCAACATTGAGCAAAATCAAGTCCCATTACGTCAGTAAAGCACTAATATAGGATACCAGTATGCTATGAATTATTTTAAGAGTAAATATTAGTTACTTAACAACTACTTTTAAAGTCCTCATTCCATATATAACATTAAATTACACTAATAGTGTGGCAGCTGTAAAAATGGTGATACGTGCATAAAAATAATTTAAAAACACAGCACCATCTTTCAAGCTATCTGTTCAAGCAATGACTGTCATAATGAGCATAAAAACAGTGCACATATGGATGAAAATAAAATTATATTTGGTGTAACAGCAAAAGAAAAATTTTACAAAATGAATTAACTAGTTACAGTTCTTCTAACACCCGTTCTAAGACAGTGTATATTATATAACAGTTTATCGGACAAATACTCTTTACCAGTTTCTAGATACCTGTCGGTCATTTCTCATATTGTTATTCAACTGTTTTCCCTGGAAGCCTCTTTAGGCTAATTTGCCTACATAATTTCACCCATTATATATGAGATTGCTATCACGTAACTCCCATACATTTAAAATACATTTAACTTTTCTTATAGGTAAGATAGATTAACATCGATCAATTAGTTAAAGTAGAGGGAGCCAGGGCCTGTGTTTCTCCTATTTTTTGCACAAACACTCTAAATGACTCCATCAAGTCCAGTAGTAGCCAGATTTGGACCACATAAACTGAGTTCTGTCCACTGTCAGTATGAGCAAGATGTAACACTTTCAGATCTGACACGTGTCTCCCACTCAGAATTCATCACATTTTGTCCAGGTCTGGCAGTGACGATGGTGCCGTGGATGATGGTGGGGATCTGCTGGACGGAGTAGAGCAGCTGTCCATGGTCCTGAGTAACATGTGCTCAAGACATGAGCAAAACTTTCAGCTTTGCTTTCTTCAGCTACTGAGATTTTGCTACTGGGTAATGCATTGTGAATAAAACATCTCCACCGTACTGGAAGCACCATAGTTAAAAGGAGGTATCCACCTTTGTCTGCCATGTGTTCACAAACTAATCTAATGTCTGGCTCAGAGTAGATATTCAAAGTGTATTTGCTACAAACAAGAAATGAAAACAGGAATGAATCAAATGGTACCTCTGAGTGCAAGTGAGTAATTAGAATCATTATTGACCTCTTCTTGAGAGGAGACTCATTATTTCATTCAGCTTGTATATTTAAGGAATGTGTTATGTGCTAAGCACTCTGTGCACTGCAACTGTTAAGGTTTAACCAGAACCAACAACTGCAAATTCAGCACGGTCTTTTTTATAGTGGCATACAGATGTGCAACAAAACCAAACGGAATCAAATACAAACAGGCAGGGAGTGGTGAGGAAATGCTTCCCAGGTAAAGCAGAGTTGCGTGGACTTTTGAAAGAATCAGTCAAAGGAAACACACTTGTATGTGTGTCTGCAAAAACCCATGTGTTTAGGCCCGAGGGTGATGTTTGTTAGAAGAAAAGCATGGTTTTCACATATGTCTACAGATGTGAAATTTCAGATGGTCGTGTTTGAATTTCTACACAGTAATGCTCTATGACATCTGAATGGAGGGAGAGAAGCCCAAAGACGTAGGAAGTGGTAAACACAGATCAGAAAGGTCTCTAACATGAGATTTGAACTTCCATGCTGTTCTATGGGCAATTTTAAACAAGGGTCAGGGACACTGCATCTTTCATAGCATGAGAAAAAAAGGACAGATGATGTTTCTCTGAGTTATGGGGGAAAACAAAGATGAAGAAGGGCCATTCATAGCTTTTCTGTCTCCCATGCTTCATACAATTTACCAAGGACAGGTAGATGCTGTATTTAGGAAAGATTCCTTGTGAGAAGTATATTCATAATTATGATCCAGGTTTAAGTAGCAGCTTCAACTACAAAATAATGAGCATATGACATTGATAATGTTCATTAACTTTATCTCCCTATCTGTAGTTTCATTTAGGATTTCTATTCTGTAAGTCTGATTTTTTGGTAAGCTTTTACTTTCAAGAAATCACAATTTGTAATTAAAATAATTCAAAGCAAAATGAAAATATCCATCTGTTTCTTGTGACTCATCATCCTTTACAATGTCAGCTCTCTGTAATTCCGCCAGTTCACAACTTCAACTCAACTGCTTTAATTCATTTCTTTCTAAAATTTAGAGGGGCAAAATTTCATCTCCCTAAATTGTATTTGTTAAATGTATATGTAATGATGTCAAAATAAGATCTTCTTTGTACCCTAGTGTAAAATATTATGGGAATAATAATGGAATTTCCTGTTTTATTTTGTGTAATACAAACACAACTTCTAAATGTTTCTATGACAGGAATCTGAGTCTTAATATGGTTTGGGGATTATCTATATTCTCTTTAGTGTTGCATAATTATACATTATTGGTATTTTAATTTTAAAAACAAAAATAATATGCTTATGATATGTGCAAATATTAAGTAATAAAGAAAATATTCAAAAGGATAAATATGGATTAAAAGTCAAGATATTTAAAAGCTAGGGATAATGATCATAATACTTTCCTTTAAATTGATAAATTACATATAAAAACAAAATACAAATTTATACTTACAACCATGTAAAGTAAATCTCCATAATTAAAATACAACCTCCAAAGCATGGTAGAATTTGAATTAACTAAGAGAGAAGTATTTTTCTTTTTTATCTACTAATTCCCAGTGATTCTGACATTTCACTTGTTTTCGGAAAGTACATTTTGATTTACACATAAAAAAATTGCTTAGTGTAGAAATTTTATTAAAGCTGAAGCGTAATATTTAATTTCTGTGGTCATTTTTCTTGTGATATGTTTCTTTCTTAAATTATAGCCGCAATATGGAGAACATTTCCTACCAGAAAGATACAAAATTCTTTATTCAACGGGTGGTAAAATTCATAAACCCAGTCTAATCAGTTATATGCGGAGACAAAAGTTAAAGAATATTAGGCTAACTAGCTACTTTTAAGAGCTAATATAAGACAAGTAATATCTGGTTCTGAAATGTCATGTAAACCATATGGCCTTTGCAAAATAATTAACTCATGTGAAATTAGAAGTTTCCTTTCAGGTGGACAATTTGTTTTTCACATCAAGCAGGAACAGAACCTTCTGCCCTATGTGAAAAAGCAGGCAGGGAGCCTGGTGTCCAGAAGGAATTTCTTTCATCAGAGTTTGAGACG